>NC_000012.12:42157097-42308612 GCF_000001405.40 Homo sapiens
GGGCAATTTATAAAGAAAACAGATTTATTTTGGCTTATGAGTCCAAAGGCTGAGGAGTCCAAGATCAGGGAGCCCATCTGATGAGGGCCTCATGCTGCTTCAACTCATGGTGGAAAGCAGATGGTGAACTGAGGAGGGCAAAGAGAACAGAACACAAGAAGCATCCTCACTTCATAACAACCCACTCTTGTGAGAATTCATCCATTCCTGCAAGAGCGAATCCATTCCAGAACTAACTGAGCCTCATGAGAAAGCCTTTAATCCATCTCAATGACCTAATCACCTCTTAAAGGCACCACCTACCAACACAATCAAACTGGGGACTCAGGCCTCAGCATGAGTTTTGGTGAGGACAAACCATATCCAAACCATAGCAGGAAGTTTAAAAAAGCGAGTGGCGGAAGCCTCAGTGGAAACGAAAACTTCTAGACCATTTACCATTAATGCAGAGGCTACATTCTTTCAGTCTATAAGGATCTTTATCTAAAAGTTAATAAACATGCTATCAACTTAGAAAGGCTGAAGTTTCTCTTCCTTTTTAAATGTTTTCACTTTGTCTATTATCCACTATCATTTTAGGAAAGCATTTAATAAAAATAAAACCTTTATTTCTATTGTATAATACAAAAGGTTTTAAGAATATTCTTCTGTGCCTCAAATTATATTCACTTTTTAAATATACATATATATATATATGTATATTCAAATTTTTTCATAGAGATGAGCTTTCACCATGTTGCCCAGGCTGGTCCTGGGCTCAAAATATCTGCCTGCTTCAGCCCAAAGTGCTGGGATTACTGGCATGAGCCATCACACCCGGCCTATCTTCACTCTTACTTATAGCAAAGTAAGGTAATAAATGCTGGAAAACATCCAAATTCTTTTTGTATGGAATTTGGCTAAAAGAACCCAGTGCTCAAACCACACTGTAAGTTCATGAAACAGAGAAAAACATGTACCCTAAACCTAGGTTCTGAATCTTTCGCATATTTTAACGTCAGTTCTGTTTATGGAATTTGGGTCTGTTTTCCTGGTGTGGAAGTGTACTTGAAGTAGGGTGAAACAAAGGCAGGTTGAGATACCTGTGATTAATAAAAGTAAAATAATTTCAAGTCAACTTAATTCATTTCTCCAATCTCATAGTGCACACCCACCAGGTTCTTTAATTATGGAAAGATGGTCTTTCTGCATCCAGAGAAAACATCTGATATTACACTGAAAATTTAGTGAAATCTATAAAACACTATTACTTTAGGTCATCCAAGAGGGCAGGAAAATAACTGTTACAAAAAATATTTTTGTATTTTTGTAATGGGATTTTACCTATAACAATGGTAAAAGCTCACATTTACTGAGTGACCAGTATGTGTCAGATAATTAAGAATTTTACACGGATTGACTTAATCCTCCCAAAAACCCTATAAATTAGATGTGATTACCATTATTAGCCCTGTTTTATAGATGGAAAGTAAGCTTGGGTAATTTAAGCTCATTTCCATTCTACAACAGGATTCAAACATGAGGTGTCAGTTAGCACGCTTAATCTCCATGCTACACCGTGTTCCCGTCTATGTAGAAAGATGAGTATCTTCCCACCTATGTAGAAATATGAGTATGCTCCATTCAGGTAAAATCCCATCTCCTGTCAGATTTTTCTCTCTTGCAGCTCATTTAAAATACATCCTGAAAGTTATTTGATCATAAGATGTAATTCCTTTAAAGCATAGTTTTTGACTTAAAAATTAAATATTTTCCCTATTACATTTTTAAATTTTTACTATCTCCAAAAATGTATAAAACATTTGAAACATGTTAAAAACAGAATAAGACAAAAAAATTCATGTTTTAAAGGAACATATCTGGTTAGCTGGTATTCCATTGAAAGTATCTTATAATAAACACAAATTTTAATTTTTCATTTAACAACACTAAAGAATGAGGTATATAAATGTTTTAATCACAGACTTTTACTGTATGCAATTAATTGTATTTCACAACTAGCATCTTACAAAAAAGACAGTACCACTGTGCCTGTAAAAAGTACTGTAATTAAACAGAAAATTACATTACCACATGAAACCACCAAATATCACAACTGTTAGGGTCTACAGTTTTATTTTTTCTTCAAATGTTATCATGATGTCTTATGTGATATTTTGCATCCACATTCTATTTTTAAGTTCATTTACAATTCAGAAGTCTCCTTTAGGTAGATATATATTAAGCAAATGGTTAAGAGAAAGCAGGAGACCCCAGGAGAATTTAAGTACTGTGTGGTTTCTAGGTTGAAATTCTAAATACAACATAAAACTCTTTAAATAGTTGTAAACAAAAATGCAAAATCTGTAGTCATAAAAATATTTTATTGGTAATTTTACATAGTATAAGTGGGGCTATACTTTTTTCCTTTCAGGATACTGAGAAATGTGTAAACTGGCAGCTGTGTCTGAAAATAGGGTACTATGATTTTCATAAGAATTATTGTATTTAATAAGAAGCCAATTTGACTGATTTAAAATTAGTTATTTCCCATTTCTGTGCAATAATTCCCATTTCTGTTTTAATTAGATTCATACTTCTATGGCCCTGGATAAGTTTGGGACAAGAAAACAATGATAAAACTATCATTAAGTTAAAGCTTTTCTAAAATTGCAGCTTGTAAAATATGGCAAGTTTCTTTTCTCTTGTTTTTGCCAAATGCTTATAATTATTTGAATTTTAATGTTTTATATGATACAGAAAATACCAGTGTTCAATGACAATAGCACTAAACCTGAATTATAAAGCTAAATAATCAATGTTTTATTGTTTACTAGTCCGCTAGTAAACATTACAATAAATGAATGTTTTGAAAAATAAGCAAACAAAAAAACCTCAAAAAATAGATAAAACCAGAAACATAATTCAGGAACAATAATTAGTAAAACGTGTCAAAAACATTGGCAAAGGTTCATACAAATTCTTTATTTAATAACAATTTTCCTATTTAACCACACCAAGTACCAGCAGGTGTATTTAAGAGGATAACCATTAAGAAAAACCTGTTGCAGCAATAGTTAAGTTGTTCTTTGACTTGTATACATATAACTATCTGTTTCACAATTCTCAAATAATACATATTTAGGCAGCTTGCACTATGTTATAAAAAATTTAAATTCGTTACATGCCAATAGTAGAGAATTCAAGAATTATGTGTTAGAATTCACTAAACTAAAAGTGAAAATACACTTACCAATAACACTGCATAATGAATAATTCAACCACATTTTCATGGCACTTAACTGCAGAGACCAAAATGTTAAGTCTGGAAATGTTTGGTAGGCATCATTGCAATAAAATCTAACAAATTCTAACAAATTTCTATTTTATGTAAAACTCAAATTATGGATTGTGCATGAATGTATCTGTCATGAAAATGTGGTACCTCTTGGCATAATCTGTGTATTTGCATGGTAGGACAGAAGTGACTAAGAAATTGGAGAAAATAAACTTTAATGAGATTCTCCATTCAATGATGAGGCTTCTCCTCTGGGTGAAGATGACCTGGACATTCCTCTCTCTGTGTTATCAGAGCTAGAGCCGCTTTGACTGTGTTGATCTGCAGAAGCAGCACTAGATGCAGGCGGTGACTTTGTTTTCTCCTTAAAGTCTGTAATAATGACTGTCAGATCTCCAACAGTAACTTCCAAATGCTGAGCACTACTCCGATCCACATTTTTCAATCTTGGCCTAAACATAAAAAAATGAAATTTTAAACTAGCTTTTCCCTCTACCAAATTTCTGAGCATATAATAAATAATAAAAGTGGTAAAAGTAACAAAATGAATACATGTATTTAAGGCAATTTATGTGTAACTAGCCACAAAAACATCATAAAATGTTTCAACTCATTAACATTAATCAAACCAATCATTCATGAACATTCTTCAATGCAACCAAAAAACTGTGACAGCCTAGAAGTAGAACTTGTGCTTCTATAGCTGTATCATAATTTTGCAGACAGCTTATTAATTTTATTAAAATAGATGTTTTAGACAACAATGAAATAGTTGCACCATGGAGGAAGGTGATAAAAGCTAAGGTTGAGCTATATGCAAGGAAGACTGTTACTCCACTGACACACACTAATAAGGGTATCATGATTGTTATGACTGAACGCATGACCATTTTGATAGGTTAAAACCCATGCAATTATCTGTTCGGTATGTTGAAAACCACTCCTGGTTCAAATAGCTCTTCTTAAGGGAAAAACAAAACAAAACAAAACAAATCCAGACACAAATGTCTTCCAATCTCGTAAAAAGAAAAAAGCATCATCACATTTAAGCTTGTATTTCTGGCTTCTGTGTTTAATTTCCTATGTATCTTTCAAACTCAGTAAAACCTTTCCTGATACCTTATAATAAAGGAGACCAAATATTTTACTTCCACTTTGTGTATATTAGTATGTCAAGGTTAAAAAAATTAAATGGTTTTATTATTTCAAAAATGTCATAAAACACTCTTCACATTTACCTGGTTTTCTTATGGCTATTCTTTTTGCTAGTTGTTTCCTTTTCACTTTTTTCTTTTTCTACTTTATCTTTTTTCTCTTTCTTTGACTGTGTAGGAGGCACAAACTGCTGAGTAACCTGCTGTGCAACCAACTGGGAGACAGGTCGAGGTTTCCTGTGTGCATGTTAAAAAGAAAGGTATTTTAAATTACAACTTAAAACATAAGTGCTTTATGACAGAATATCTCACATTATGAAAACAAGTTAATAACAATAACTTTCAAGTATAAAAATTCCTCATATGTAAGGTAATTTAAATATACAATTTTAAAGATATGTATCAGTTTTTCCCGTTCAACAAAAATGGAACAAACTATAACAATTAAAATTTATAGTCTAAGATATATGCTCAAACATTAGAATACTGTTACGTAAATCAACATAAGAAATTATTTTAAATGTATATCAAAAAAAATGGGATGTACCCATATAAACATGAGTTCTAAAAATCAAACTTCAAAGTTTTCACTGAAATAATAATTTATCCCTCCTTCAGAGAAGGAAATACCTGACCATTTGTGACAATGGCTATCTGTTCTTTAAAGCTTTTCATTTATTCATTTAATAAACATTTATTATCAAAATTTCTCACTCCTTATTGCTTAAATCCTTTAAGTTTCTTACATCTCCAGCCACAATCTCACCATGCTCTTTTGACCCTGGAGATCTGCCCAGTCTTTTGAGACTCATCTACTTGCTAACTTACTCATTTAGAAAATATTTATTGAGGACCTACTGTAAGAACTGTTCAGGGATATCTGAAATGTTGCCTGGCTTCAACATCTGATGCTGGTACAAGCTTTCACCTGTCCAGCTTTGCCACAGAACTTGCACAACTGAGGTTAAGGTTCAAAATACAGTCTCTAAGTTCTTAAGAGAGAAAGAAGGATATAGCAAGGAAAGAGGCAGAGGGAAGGAGGGAAGAAGTAAGATAAAAATACATTTTAACAGATGCTCTACAAACAATGGTAACTTTATTGCCTGAAAAATCCTCACCCTTTTTTGGTTAGTACAGTTTTTAAAAAATCTTTTTTTCTCCTGTTCCTCTATGGCAAGACAACATAAAAAATAATGAGAAAATATTGTACAATCTAAGAATTAAAGCTGCATGGCTGAGAGAAAATAGGAAACAGTATGTAAAGCAGATATCAGGAGATGGATAATGAATTTTGCTCAGGGCCTAGACAGTCTGAACTACTGAAAGGATATCCAGGACAGATGTCCAATATACAACTTAAAAAATAGGACTGACATAGAGTTTGAGATGTAGATTAAGAGTTGCACAAATAAAAGTGATATTGAAAGTATGGTAGTTAATGGCTGAGGTTAAAAAAGAAAAGGGTTAAGGTGGTGGTTTTCAAATATAAGGTACATCAGAATCACCAAGAAGGCTTGTTTAGCTTGCTTAGCCCTACCCCGCAGGATTTCTGATTCAGTAGGCCTTGAAGTAGAGCCCAAGAAACTGTATTTCTAACTAGTTTCCAAGTTATGCTGATGTCTCTGGGGACCACACTTTAAAAAAAAGCTTGAGGAAATGCAATATATCTGGTGAATACTGTTACTACTATAAGATAAAGTTTGAGATGGAGAGCAGAGTGGCAGAGTGAAAAAAAACCAAGCTGGACAGATAAGAAGGGATCCCATGATTAAAAGCTAAGCAGTCTGATTTTATCCTTAAGTGATGATAAGTCACTGAAGAAATTCAGACTTGAATTTTACAAAGATTACTGGCATTAGTCTGAAATAGAAAGGTACTACACTACAGTAGAAGTAAAAATGTGAGACTAGTGGTCTAATAAATGATCATGTAATCTCTGTACCTAGTGTTGTTTGTTGTTATTTTCTAACCATCAACAAATTTTCTATAGTGGTTCTTTTTTTCTGTTCTTGAGTAGTTGCATATCTTTCTCTTTTTATCCTAGGCTTACCTAAATGTATACTACACAACTATTCCATTTTTATTCTTATTTTAATGTGAAGGTTGATTTTCACTTAAAGATTATGATTTTGTACCTCAATTCTATGATTATTTCATCTGGTTCAATTCTGAGAGAAAAGAAGCACAAAACATAAATGTATATAGTTCAATTATTCAAATAAAGTTCTCTGCTGCTCTCTAGGAGCTAAAGAGCTTTCACTGAAGGTAGGAGGAACACAGTTTATGATGATCTTTTTACAACATCGTAAGTCACTCAACTCCATGCCCTATTAAAAATAAAGCCCTTCTATCTCCAGGTATCTTAAGGTTTGTGATCCCTTTTCTATTTGATGAGAAAAATCAGGATAGGAGGAAATTTTAGAGGTAGGAAATAGTTAACTCAGGAAATAAAGGGCAGAGTATCATTTATAAAATATACCCTTTTATGTTCACAGATTTATCACTCATGGTTTTGACAGTACACTTTTAGTAATGCCAAAGGTTCTGTGATAAGGAGTTGATGTGCACAAAATGGTTGCCTAGTTAATAAATGACTACTGTCTAGCCACTGGCCAACTACAGTCCATCATCTACTTATTCACATATGCCATGATTAGACTGTATTTGTCAGATATGATATTCACCAATTTGGGGATCCCTATGTATCTTTCATAGATAGCCCAAATAGAAGGTATAAGTTTTGCAGTCTGTTGATTTACTATAATGTAAGAAAAGGGGGAACATTTTATTACGCATTAGGACAAAATATTTTTGGAGCTGGCTGACCTTCTGTGTGAGCAGGAGGTCAATACATGTTGGCTTCATATATGCAATTTTCAACTACGGTCTGCCTTCCACCCCCACTGACAAAAATCCCATGTGCTAAATATTAGAGGAATAATATTTTCAGCTTGATCAACTTCATCATAATTTAGCTTTGTCATGTTGGACAGGTAAGATGAAAGAAAGGAAAGAAAGAAAAAGAGTATTAAAAACAATGACATTCTTTACTAAAAAGAGGCAGCATAACTCAAATTTCAAAAGAAGTAATCTGCTTAGTAACACCAAAATATATGGTAAATTGAAGCGATATGGTAAATCTCATCAAAAAAAAAAGGCTGGACTAAATCCATACATATTGTGAATCTGTTGATACTCTGGCTAACAAACGCCCAAAAATCTAACCTAGGAAAGATTTTATAAAAAACCACCTGTTTACAACCAAGCGTGGTGGCTCACACCTGTAATCCCAGCACTTTGGGAGGCCAAGGCAGGCAGATCATTTGAGTCCAGGAGTTCGAGGCCAGCCTGGGCAACATAGTGAAAACCCATCTCTACAAAAAAAATACAGAAATTGGCCAGTAAAGGTACGCGCCTGTAGGAGGCTGAGGTGGAAAAATCGCTTGAGCCCAGGAGGTGGAGGTTGCAGTGAGCCACGATCACACCACTGCATTCCACCCTGGGTGACAGAGTGAGACCCTGTCTTCTGGAACAAAAAAAAAAAAAAAAAAGAAAAGAAACTACTTGTTTGATAAATTTTATTGCACATTTACATGTGTCAGGCACTAGGTAAGGAGATTAACCATGAACAAGACAAACATAGGCCCTGCCCTCATGCGCTAAAAATTAAAAACAAAAAAACTGTGTGTTGTGATAGAGAAAACAGGAGGAGGAGTTATTATAGACAGAGAGGAAATAACTTCTGTCCATGTTTAAATGGTCAGTATACCAGGAGAAACAGGTATCACAATGGACCCTTTTAATAAGAGAACAATGAAACGACTTCATTAAGCATTTTATTAAGACTTTAAAAGAGAGTAAACCCAATTTCTTATTCTATAATAACTTGGTTTTAAAGTTATCTACACCTCGAATGGCCAAAAGGTTTTTGTTTTTGTTTTTGTTTTTGTTTTGAGATTGAGCCTAGCTCTGTCGCCCAGGCTGGAGTGCAGTGGCGTGATCTCAGGTCACTGCAAGCTCTGCCTCCTGGGTTCACGCCATTCTCCTGCCTCAGCCTCCCAAGCAGCTGGGACTACAAGTGCCTGCCACCATGCCCGGCTAATTTTTTTTTATTTTTTATTTTTAATAGAGACGGGGTTTCACTGTGTTAGCTAGGATGGTCTCGATCTCCTGACCTCATGATCTGCCCGCCTCAGCCTCCCAAAGTGCTGGGATTACAGATGTGAGCTGCTGCGCCCGGCCAGGTTTTTTTTTTTTTTTTTTTTTTTAATGTAACTAACTCCTCATCAACTGTCATGCCTAATCCTATGAACATTCATCTTGTAAGTACTGATTCTTGGTTTTAAATTCTATCTATATCTATCTATCTATCTATCTGTCTATATCTATATCTATCTATCTATGAATGAGACGGAGTCTCACACTGTCACCCAGGCTGGAGTGCGGTGGCGTGATCTTGGCTCAATGCAACCTCCAGCCTCCTAGCTTCAAGCGATTCTCCTACCTCAGCCTCCCGAGTAGCTGGGATTACAAGCGTGTGCCACCATGCCTGGCTAATTTTTTATATTTTTAGGGGGTTTCACCATGTTGGCCAGGCTGGTCTTGAACGCCCAACCTCAGGTGATCCGCCTGTCTTGGCCTCCCAAAGTGCTGGGATTACAGGCATGAGCCATTGCGCCTGGCCTCAAATACATTTCTAATAGGTTTTAGCTTTTCTTTACTTCTACCACTTCTTGGACTTGTATCATAGGATGCTTTACTTTTGAAACCCTTGACAACTCATAATTTCTTGAAGAGACAGACATTCTCTCTGCTTCAGAATTACCATTTTCATTTGTAGATGAGGTACACATACCTACCTTTAGCATCTGTCCACTAACGAACTATCTCAAGTAAATTTTTGTGTCAAATATAGAAGATAAAGAATGTTTTCACATGTCTTTAAAGCAAAACAAGATGCTCCAAGTTCTTTTTGCAAAATATTGCATGATAAAATCCTTTCTGTTGAATGACTACTTATATGAGAAATCATATATACTTTTTGTGCTCAGAAATATTTGTTCACTTATCAATTACTGAGTTTGAGAAAAATGAACAAGGATATTGTCATCTGAAGACTCATGGTCTGAGATTTCCCTTATATGGTCAATTTCAACATCACTACAATTTTGGATGCCACTATCACTGGCTTTACACCATCCCCTGATTCATCTAGTAACTGTGAAACATCTTGTAAATCTTCCTGTCATTAGGAGCAGAAAATGAAAAATTCTGAATTCTCAAATGTGTTCAATGAAAGTTAAAAAAAAAAAAAAGGAGGGCAAAGACTACAAAAATACTGTCTCTACACTTTTGTACTTTCTGGGAAGATGATAAAACACTGGATTTTTTTTTCAAAATTGCACTATCCTTCTAGATGATGCCACCATTTTTCTGTTTTCTTATTATTTTGGTCTCTTTTTAATACAGTTGGAAATAACTAAGTAGTAAAGATAAAATAGTTCCTAGGAACAGAAAACCAAACACTGCATGTTCTCATTCATAAGTAGGAGCTAAACAATGAGAACACATGGACACAGGGAGGGGATCATCACACACCGGGGCCTGTTGGGGAGTGGGGGGAAAGGGGAGGGAGAGTATTAGGACAAATACCTAATGCATGCGGGGTTTAAAACCTAGATGACGGGTTGACAGTTACAGCAAACCACCATGACACATGTCTATCTATGTAACAAACCTGCATGTTCTGCACATGTATCCCAGAACTTACAGTAAAATAAAAATAAATAAAATAGTTCCTAGGATGTAATAGCAAACTATCTCAAGATATAGGAAAAAATCAAATAACTAAGATCCCGTTATATATGACAGAAATATAAAAGGGACCAAAAGGTCCATATGGTAATTTCAAAAAATAAATGTTCTCCTTCTTTGAAGACCTCAAGGAAAGAACAAAACATAAAGTATCAAATCTATAGGTAGAACCACTTGAAAAAGGACTCAAAAACTAAAATTGGGTCCAACTTAAGAAAAATCATTTGTGTATCTACATATTAAAACAATACACATATCCTGTAACTAATTATTTAAATATTACTGTATTAGAATTACCATTTTTGGTTCTTAGCTCAATGTTGAAAAATATAAATAGCACACAACAGAAATTCAATAAACGAAAAGCTGTTGAAAATTTCTGGCCAGGCTCGGTGGCTCACATCTATAATCCCAGCACTTTGGGAGGCCAACGCGGGCAGACTGCTTGGGCCCAGGAGTTTGAGACCAGCCTGGGCAACATGGCAAAACCCTGTCTCTATAAAGTTACTCAGGAGTGGTGACGCAGGCACATGCCTATAGTCCCAGCTACAGTCCAGGACAGTCAAGTCATCGTCTGGCTTTGTTTCCATACCTCGAGCTCTGACTGCATCCCAAGATTACTGGGTAAGCCAAATAAAATAATGAATGTTAAAAATGTATATACTGTAAGTTATAAAATACTTTAAGTAATATTTATGAATAATATACAAATATATCTTGATGGCATAATATTTTTAAATCTAGGATTCTGTTACACTTTTGTCTCACATAACTCCCACAACATTCCTGACAAACTTTCCCATCACGTCTATCTCAAGAAAAGAAAGACAGCATTTTTTTTTTTTTTTTTTTTGAAATGGAGCTTCGCTTTTGTTGCCCGGGCTGGAGTGCAATGGCGCACTCTCAGCTCACTGCAACCTCCGCCTTGTGGGTTCAAGTGATTCTCCTGCCTCAGCCTCTCTAGTAGCTGGGATTACAAGTGTGCACCACCATGCCCAGCTAATTTTTTTTGTATTTTTAGTAGAAACGGGGTTTCACCATGTTGGTTAGGCTCGTCTTGAACTCCTGACCTCAAGTGATCCACCTGCCTCGGCCTACCAAAGTGCTGGGATTATAGATGTGAGCCACCATGCCTGGCCGAAAGACAGAAATTTTATGTCATAAAATTTAAGCAGGGTGATTCAGTTTGAAGAGGCTTGGCTTCTTCCTTAAATTCTTTTCGGAAAAATGATTATCTTACATTGCACAAAATAAAGACTCTAACCTGGTATTTAGCTATTGTCCCCAAAACTATCAAAATCCTTTTTATACACAATTTCTCCTTTAAAAAAACAAGAACACTCCATTCACAGGAACAAGCCACTGTTCTCAAAGTAGTTACAGTAAGCAGAATCTACTATACAAACTCTAGATCTAAGGGCATATTTGCACATTTACATGTCATTTGGTTGAGATGGCCTGCCTAAATATTTTTTAAAAACTTAAAATTTTCTAATTAAATTTATAATTAGTATTAATATTTTAATTTACTAAGTTTAAAAACTCACAATTACCTTTTAAAATGTTGTAAATATTGTGGGGCTCATACCACCCCTCCCATCATAAGAACACTATACTCCTTTCACAGACATAGAAATATACTGAAGTCTCTCCCATCTAGAAGGAAAAAACTCCTCCCTTAATCCCTTGTTTACTTGCTCTTCCTTTCTCCTCTTCCAGTATTTTGAAAATGTCTGCTATTCTCTCAGTTGTGTCCTTGTCTTCACTTCTACCTTTCCAAACCTCTTTCCTATCCACTAAAGAAACCATACTAAGGTCACCAAGTATGCCAAAACCAAAAGACAGCTTTCAGTCCTCATCTTATTTGACTTCTGTGTATCATGACATTATTTAACATTCTCCTGCACCATAGCTACAAAGGTTCTACTTTCTTATTCCTCTTCCTACCTTCTCCAGTAAGTAGGTCCTTCTCAGTCATCTTATATCTAAACTGGCTCCTCTTAGAACTTCCTCTTCCAGCCCCTTTAATGTTGAGGTTACTTCATGCTGTTCTTAATCTCTTCTCTTTAATTTTTCTTTTCTTTTTTTTCGGAGACATAGTCTCACTGTCCCCCAGGCTGGAGTGCATTGGCACAATCTCAGCTCACTGCAGCCTCTGCCTCCTGGGCTCAAGCAATCCTCCCCTCTCAGCCTCCCAAGTAGCTAGGACTACAGGCATGCCCCACCACACCGGGCTAATTTTTGTATTTTTTGTAGAGACAGGTTTCACCATGTTGCCCAGGCTGGTCTCAAACTCCTGGACTCAAGAGATCCACCTGCCTCAGCCTCCCAAAGTGCTGGGATTAGAGGTGTGAACCACCGTGCCCAGCCAACTTCTTCTCTTTTCATGTTGAATACAAGCATTATTCTTGAAGGATATGGGTAATAATGACACTATTGGAGTGGTGGAGCTACAAGACTAAATTTTAGGAAGTAGCAGGGTTAGAGATATATAGTAGAAGAGTTTCCTTCCTTCCTTTTCTCTCTCTCTCCTTTCTTTTTTTTTTAAGACAGAGTCTTGCACTGTCACCCAGGCTGGAGTGCAGTGGTACAATCACAACTCACTACAGCCTCAACCTTCTGGGTTCAAGCTATCCTCCTACCTCAGCCTCCAAAGTAACTGGTACCACAGGCACGCATCACCACACCTGGGTAATTTTTTTATTTTTTGTAGAGATGAGGGTCTCACAACGTGGCCCAGGCTAGTCTCAAACTCCTGAGGTCAAGCAATCCTCCTGCCTCAGCCTCCCAAAGTGCTGGGGTTACAGGCATGAGCCACCAGACCCGGCTATGTTATGTGTTTTTGATAAGTCAGTCAGTCACATTACACCATAATTGTAGGTATGCTTGCAAGCTCCTGAAGGATTGTGTCTTTTCATTTTTGAAACACTGGTAACAAGCTCAGAGCCTGATAGGCATTCAACAAATGATTGCTGAATGAATTAAATAGCCCTTGTTCTCTCCTGAATCTTCCATCTTTCCCTTTTTAAAATAATAATTTATCTCAAAACATGCTCATTTATCTTGCGTATCTTAATGATAACAAAGAATACTTGATATCTGTGTTGGTTCCTGGTTTATATTCTGCTTCAGGGAGCTCATCCACTCTAAGAGTTCCATTTGTTTCCTCTATATAGAAAACTTGTGGCCAGATGCGGTGGCTCACGCCTATAATCTCAGCACTTTGGGAGGCTCAGGCAGGCAGATCACTTGATCCTAGGAGTTCGAGACCTGCCTGGGCAATATGGTGAAACCCTGTCTCTACTAAAAACAAACAAACAAACAAAAAACTATACACACACACACACACACAAATTAGCTGGGCATGGTGGCAAGCACCTTTAGTCCCAGCTACTGGGAGTAAGGGACAGGAGGATCACCTGAGCCTTGGGAGGTTGAGACTGCAGTGAGCCGTGATTGTGCCACTGCACTCTAGCCTGTAGATCCACCTCTCCAATAGTATCATTATTACCCATATTCTTCAAGAATAATGTTTGTATTCAACAAAAATACAAACATATTTCTTTCCCCTAATATCCGCTCTAAATGTTGAATGGTGGGAAGTGGGAGAGAGCACTAGAGCAACGTAAGTGGTCAGGAATTGTTTAGTTTTTTTTTGTTTTTGTTTTTAGACAGAGTGAAACTCTGTCTCCCAGGCTGGAGTGCAGTGGCGTGATCTCGGCTAACTGCAACCTCCGTCTCCTGGGTTCAAGCAATCCTCCTGCCTCAGCCTCCCAAGTAGCTGGGATTGCACGTATGTGCCACCATACCTGGCTAATTTTGCATTTTTAGTAGAGACGGGATTTCACCATATTGCCCAGGCTGGTCTCAACTCCTGACCTCAAGTGATCCGCCCACCTTGGCCTCCCAGAATGCTGGGATTACAGGTGTGAGCCACCACACCCAGCCAGAACTGTTTAATCTGTAATATTCTAATATTGTAAAGTAGGTAATGTACTATCCAGGCATAGTGGTGCATGCCTGTAGTCCCAGTCACTCAGGAGGCTGAGGCAGGAGGATCACTTGAGGCCAGGAGTTAGAGGGGCTGCAGTGCACTATGATCATACCTCTGAATAGCCACTGGCATTTCAGACTGGGCAACGTGGTATGACCCCATCTCTTTAAATTAAAAAAAAAAGAAAGAAAGAAAGAAATATGTTACTTGTAGAATTACTTTTAAAAATAAAATCAACTAAGCACTTGCCTATGATTCTTACAGACTACAAGCAAAAGGGCCAGAACTGGGTATATAACTCCTGATCATTTTCTCATTACAAAAATCTCATATCTGGCTGGGCGTGGTAGCTCACGCCTATAATCCTAACACTTTGGAAAACTGAGGTGGGTGGATTATTTGAGCTCAGGAGTTCAAGACCAGGCTGGGCAACATGGTGAAACCCCATCTCTACAGAAAATACAAAAAAAAAAAAAAATTGGCCAGGTGTACTGGTGCGTGCCTGTAGTCCCAGCTACCCAGGAGGCTGAGATGAGAGGATCACCTGAACCTGGGAGGTTGAGGCTGCAGTAAGCCATGACCGTTCCACTGCACTCCAGAATGGGAGACAGAGGGAGACCCTGTCTCAAACAAAAAAAGAGTTTAAAAACAAGTATTTAGGCTCCTCAACAAACCAGCCTCTAACTACATTTCAAACATTAATGCTATCTGTTTTTTATTCTTCCAATGCTCTATGCTCTTTCTATATTTGATTTAGTTGTGCAATGCTGGGAAAATCCTTATTCACACAGTTAAGTACTTACAAATGACAATCTTTTAACTTTAAATTCACCTTGAATCTTGGGAAGCTCTTCAATTAAAGTAATTTAGAAGCTTGAAAGAAAGATACAAGGACTTTTGAGTTAAAGTTGCATCATTAACAGTAGTTAGTAACCACTTACATTTTTATCATAATAAAGGACAGAAGTCGTACAAAATTATAAATTATTATAATTTGAAATCTCTTATATGCATCCATCTACCTGGCTACTAAGCCACAATGACAGCATGTACCATCAGCAGATGGGCTAGAGCCTTCTTAAATATGCTTCAGCTGAGGCATGTGTGATACAGTGGTGGATGAATTTAGATGTCATACAATTTTATATAAGCCAACATGAGACCTGAATTTTTTTTAAGCGACTAGGGCAGGGGCTACAACATTCCTAATTGGTAACATATTTAAAAGGTTTGAAAAATACAGAAGCCCAGAGATAGCAGAAGTGCTATTCTGAAGTCTGCACAGGAGTGAATAAATCAAGTACATACCCAAGAGAAATGAAAACATATGTTCACACAAAAATGTGTACATGAATGTTCACAGAAGCATTATCCTTAACAGCCCCAAAGCGGAAGCAACCCAAATGCTTACTAACTGATGAATGGATAAATCAAATATGGTGTATATTCATAAAATGAAATATTATTTCACCATAAAGAAGGAATGAAATACTGACAGATACTACAACATGGATGAGCCTACGGCATTATGCTAAGTGAAAAACACCAGTCATTAAAGACCACATATTCTTGCATGGTTCTGTTTATATAAAATGTCCAAAATAGGCAAATTCATAGAAACAGGAAGTAGACCTGTGGTTGCTCAGGGTTAGGACATTAAGGAACAAAATGGAGAGTAACTGCAAATGGACATGAGAGAGGGAGAGAGAGACAGAGAGAGAGAGAGGGAGAGAGAGAAAGAGAGAGTCTGGAGTAAAAATTCTTCTAAATACTAGAGATGGGGTCTCGCTCTATTGCCCAGACTGCAGTGCAATGGCACAGTCATAGACACTGCAGCCTCAAACTCCTGGGCTCAAGAGATCTTTCTTTCTCAGCCTCTTGAGCAGCTAAGACTATAGTCACAAACGGGGCTCCACGGTCTATATGTATTTAATTTTCAATAGCAAACACTTCTGCAGCAGACCAGAACACAATTTTCCCCCAACTCCTGGCAGGTGGTACCAGGAAGACTTGATTCCTTGACAAATACTAAGATAGTCCTTGGTAAGCACAGACAAAACAGATTACTTACATCATTTCTATAAAAACTAGGTTAAAGTTTTCAGCAAAGCCTCTCAAATCATTAAATGACACGACAGTTTGGCATTTGCTTTTCACTTAATTTGAAAGACTAAGGACAATCTTCAAGACTACAAATAGGTCACTCTCAACTTTCCCTTCCTCTTAGCCAACTAAACATTTAAGCCCTTTCCATTTTTCTTTCATATTATTCCAACTGTTCCTCTTTATCATACCCACTAATACTACTCTAGCTTAACCCAACAGACTTCTACAGCACCTTCTCCTTTCCAATCCAAGATTACTCTTGCTTCCATTAATTTATTTAACAAATATTTATTAAGCATTTACTATGTTCCATTAAATATTCCAATTACTGTTCTAAGTACTGGGAAGAGAGCACTGAACAAAACTTGCTTTTATCATGTGCTATTTTATCAAGGGGGTGACCTTAGTTCTTATCTCACAGAGAAAAGAGAAGCTATTCGATTAGAATGTCCACAGCCTTCCATCTGTACCGACATAGTCTGACTTCCCTACCCTTACTCTTAATTAAACCATCCATCTCTCTGCCCACTGGATCCCTTTCTCCAGGACACACTCCTGCCACTGACCTCCTTTGTTTCCTGCTTAAACAATATTTCCTTCTCTACTGGGTTATTCCTGTCAGCATACAAAATATTTCAATAATTCATACCTCAAAAAGAAAAAAAAAAAAAAAACTCTTTCCTGAGTCTACATCCCTGTCTAGCCACTGCCCCATTTGTTTTCTTTTCCATGACACCTCAAAAAAATTTTCTATACTCACTCTATACTTTTCCCACTCTCTCTCAGGCTCACATTAGTCAGGCTCTTGTCCTTCCACTCCAGCAAAATTATTTATTTCAAGGTCACTGATAACCACTTTACCAACAGTCAACTGTAGTCATCCTAGCCTTTTCCAGCAACACTTCACTGAGTTTATCACTCCTTCCCTTCCTGAAAAACTTTTTTCACTCAGCCTCTAGGACACCACACTCTTCACATTTCTCTCCTGCCTCACTGGCTACTCTTTCACAGTTTCATTTACTGATTCCCTTCCAGTGTCCCAAATTTCTAAACTTCAGAGTACCTCAGGACTGAGTCTTTGGATACCTCTTATCTACGCTAACCCTCCAGACCAGTGCTACTCAAAAAGTGTAGTCAACGAATGAAGAGTAGCAACACCAGGTACCTCTTAAAAATGCAAATTCTCAGGCCTTGCCCTAGAACTAGGGTGATTTTTTTATGCATGCTAAAAGCACTCCTCTTGTTGACCTCATTCAGTCCTCGGTTTTAAGTATCATCTGTACAATGGTTTTCGACCCTGGCTCCACATTGGATTTCACTTGCAATGGCATTTTAAAAATATGACTAGAAAGCAAAAGTTAAATTTTGCTAAATTTTATAAATAGAATATTTGTAAAAATAACACTTAAGGAAAAACTAGATTATGACATTGAAAGTAATGAACATTAATTTTAATAATGAAAGTAGTCCCTGAATAATCTTTTCTATGCATCAAAGTTTTCCTCAAAGGCATACATAAACCCCTCACATTGAAACATATGAAAACAATGTGATCCATAACATCCAGGCATTTCCCTTTCAATATATGTACTCAAAGAAGGAAATATATGTCCATACAAAAACTTGTACACAAATGTTCATAGCAACTTCATTTGTAATGGCCCAAAACTGAAAATAACCCAAATGTTAATCAACAGGTGAATGGATAAAGAAACTGTGGTACATCCATACAATGGAATACTACTCAGCAACACAAAGAAATGAACCACTGACACTCAAGAGGAGTTATGCCGAGTGAAAGAGATTGGACCAAAAAAATACACACTGTATGATTCCATTCACATAAATTTCTAGAAAATGCAAACTAATTTATAGTGACAGAAAGCAGATCAGTAGTTGCCTAGCAACCAGAGATGGGATGGGGGTAGGTACAGGAGGGAGGAATTAAAAATGGGCACAAAGAAACTCCAGAAAATAATGGATGTGTGTCTGCTCTCTTGATTGTGGTGATAGTTTCACAGGTATATTCATATGTCAAAACTTAACATATTGCATGTTTTATGTGTGGTTTATTGTATGTCAATTATACCTCAAAAAAAAAAAAGCTGTCTAAAATTTTTTTAACCTAACTACTAATCAAATTAAAACGGGAGGCCAGGCACGGTGGCTCACGCCTGTAATCCCAGCACTATGGGAGGCCGAGGTGGGCAGATCATGAGGTCAAAAGATTGAGACCATCCTGGCCAACGAGATCGCACCACTACACTCCAGCCTGGCGACAGAGCAAGACTCTGTCTCAAAAAAAAAAAAAAAAAAAAAAAAAAAAAATTAAAACAGGAATACCTAGGTCCCACTTAAATGAGGATCTGTAGGCTCAAATTTTTTGAAAGTTCTCAAGCTGATGTGTATTCAAGGTTGAAAACAATTGATCTATACACAGATATTAAAATTTTATCAGCCCCAATGTCTCCCATAAACTCCAGACTTCTATAACCAACTACCTACTTAACATATCCACTTGGGGCTAGGCTTGGTGGCTCACACCCATAATCCCAGCAGTCTGGGAGGCCAAGGCGGGTGGATCACTTGAGGTCAGCAGTTCAAGACCAGCCTGGCCAACATGGCGAAACTCCGTCTCTACTAAAAATACAAAATTTGCCAAACGTGGTGGTGTGCATCTGTTATCCCACTTACTCAGGAGGCTGAGGCAGGAGAATCACTTGAATCCAGAAGGCAGAGGTTGCAAGTGACAGAGTGTGACTCTGTCTCAAAAAAAAAAAAAAAAAATCCACCTGGATGTCTATGAGTAGCTGGGACTACAGGAGTGCACCATCACGCCAGCTAATTTTTGTATTTTAAATAGAGATGGGGTTTCACCATGCTGGCCAGACTGGTCTCAAACTTCTGGCCTCAAGTGATACTCCTGCCTCAGCCACCCAAAGTGCTGGGATTACAGGGGTAAGCAACCATGCCCAACCAACAATATACTCTTGATTTCTCCCTTCTCCCACTCTTCCAATCTTCAACAATCTTTTTATCTCTCAGTAACTAGCACTTCATTCTTCCAGTTGCTTAGACCGAACACTTAGAAGCAGTATTTATTCCGTTTTTCCTCTCATACTCACATCTAAGTCACCATCAAATGCTTTCCATCCCCACCTTCAAAATAAGTCTAAAATTGAATGCTTTCTTACCACCTCCATTGATACCACCCTTGTAATATCTTCATAACATCCCGGCCAGGTATGGTGGCTCACATCTGTAATCTCAGCACTTTGGGAGGCTGAGGTGGGTGGATCACCTGAGGTCAGAAGTTCAAGACCAGCCTGGCCAATATGGCGAAACCCCGTCACCACTAAAAATACAAAAAAAAATGTAGCTAGGCGTGGTGCTGGGCGTCTGTAATCCCAGCTACTCGGGAGGCTAAGGCAGGAGAATCGCTTGAACCCAGGAGGGGGAGGTTGCAGTGAACCGAGATCACGCCATCACACTCCAGCCTGGGCAACAAAAGCAAAACTCTGTCTCAAAAAATAAATAAATAACATCCCTCAATTGTTCTGCTACAGGCCATTCTTCCACAGAGCAGCCACTGTGATCCTTCCAAATGTAAATCAAATTATATTATTCCTCTGCTTAAAACCACCCAATGGGCTCCTCCTTTCCACCCAATCAATCCCCTTCACTGGCAACCAGAGTATATGGCAATCAACAAAATCCAAAATTATTGCTCTAGTCCACAAGTCTCTATGTGATATAGGCTCTTCCTATCTGATCTTCTATACTCTTCTATATGGCACCCATTATTCCAGTGTCTTAGTCTGCTTGGGCTGTCATAACAAAATACCATAGACTGGGTAGCTTAAACAGCAGATATTTATTTTCTCACAGTTCTGGAGGGTGGAAAGTCCAAGACCAAGGTCCAGTAGGGTTCCGCTTCTACTCAGGGCTCTCTTCTACTTACATTTCCTTCTGGCTTACAGACGGCCATGTTCTCACTGTGTCCTCACAAGGCCTTTCCTCAGTGCATGCACAGGGAGAGACCGACAAACCTCTCCCTCTTCTTACAAGGCCACCAATCCTACTGGATTAGGACTCCACTTTTACGAGTTCATTTAATCTTAATTGCCTCCTACCAGCCTTATCTCCAAATACAGTCACATAGGGGGTGAGGGCTTCATTCAGTATGTGAATTTTGGAGAGATGCAACTGAGTCCACAGCATCCTGCATCAATGGCTTTCTACTTCTGCCCGAGGGTTTCCCCTGCTGTTCCTCTGCCCACTCACTCCCTCACTTCTTCCAGGTCTCTGTTCAAACGCCAAATGTCAGAGAAGTCTTCCTTTTTACTTTATTCTTTTTTTACTGTATATGAATGCCAGACCATAATTGTAGGAGAAGTCTTTCTTAATCTGACACAAAACAGCATTCTACTCTCCAACTTCACTCCCTACTCTATCCTCCTTACTATGCTTTATTTTCTTCAAAGCACTTCTCTACCTACTACATTACATATTATTATTAATAGTTTATCATCTGTTTTCCTCTACCAGAATAGAATATAGGCTCCCTACCACCCCCCTAATTGTAAACAGGGACTTTTTCCTCTTCTATTTTGTTCACTGCTGTTTCTCCTGTGCCTACAGCATAAAAATACTTAATGTGCAAAAATATGTACATCTATTTTGTATCAATAAAGAAAAATAAATATTTAATGTTTTTAATGAATGAACGTTAAACCATCCTACAAAAAATTTCCAGGGATCTGTGATCCTATCGCACTTGTTTTCAACCCTGGCTACACATTAGCATCACAAGGAGTCCTTTTAAAATTACTATACTTGGGCCCCCACCCAGACCAATTGAATAAAAGACCTCCAGGAATGAAGCCTGGTACAGGTTATTTTTCAAATCTCCTGGGCTGCTCCTATTGTGCAGTCAATGGCCTATAAAACAAGATCAAATCAGGATCTGCCAGGTGAAGCAAATTATTACATTTCACCTTTGCTTTCCTAATCCACTGAAGATTCCATCTTTTCCAAATAACCTTATCTACTCTAGTATTATCGTCATCTCTCCCCTCTCTAAAACACTACAGCCTATGTAGACTATGACAAATAATCATTATAAATACATATATAACTATATCATCAAATACAGTTTGCTCCCATTTTCATTTTTATTTTTTAAAATAAAAAAAAAATCTTCTGTCCAATGTGTCAGCACCACTTTCAAACTACTTATATTTCTTTTTAACCCTCAAAGTGTTATGCACATACTGGATACTGAATACATGCTAAATGAAGAAAATTTGCTTATAAAATTATGTGCCCTTTCAATTTGTACTAAACCAGAGACAGGGTGCATAATTCTAATCTTTTATTAAGAACCACTTAAATCAGTGGTGTCTAACACCCTGGCGACATATTGGAATCATCTGAGGAGCTTTAAAAAAAAAATACCCCTTTAGCCAGGTGTGGTGGTGCGTGCCTGTAGTCTTACGTACTCAGAAGGCTGAGGCGGGAGGACAGCTTGAGGCCAGGAGTTTGAGGTTATAATGAGCTATGACTATGCCTCTGCACTCCAGCCTGTGAAACAAAGCGAGACCCTCTCTCTTTCAAAAAGAAAGAAAAAATACACTTGTCTGGGCTCCACCTTTAAGAACTTGATTTACTTAGACTGGGATAGAGCCCAGTATCCTCTTATTTGTTTAGTTGTGAAGTTTCCAAGATGATTCTAATGTGCAGTGAGGCTGGGTGCATTGGCTCACACCTGTAATCCCAGCACTCTGGGAGGCCACAGTGGCTGTATCACCTGAGGTCAGGAGTTCGAGATCAGCCTGGCCAACGTGGTGAAACCCCGTCTCTACTAAAAATACAAAAATTAGCAGAGCTTGGTGGCGTGAGCCAGTAATCTCAGCTACTCAGGAGGCTGAGGCAGGAGAATCGCTTGAACCCAGGAGAAAGAGGTTTTAGTGAGCCAAGATTGCACCACTGCAGTGCAGCCTCAGCAACAAAGCGAGATTCCACCTCAATAATAACAATGTGCAATGAGAGTTGGGAACCAGTGACTGAAACACATCAAATCTGAAGGTCTAAGTTTTCTAAAAATAGAAATTGAGGTGGGCAAATCATTTGAGCTCAGGAGTTTGAGACCAGCCTAGTAACATGGTGAAACCCCATCTCTACAAAAAATATAAAAATGAGCCAGGCGTGGTGGCACGTGCCACCCAGCTACTTGGGAGGCTGAGGTGGGAGAATTGCTTGAGCCCAGGAGGTTGAGGCTGCAGTGAGCCATGACTGCACCACTACACTCCAGCCTTGGCAATGAAGTGAGACCCTGTCTAAAAGGCAAAAAAAAAAAAAAAAAAAAGAAATCAGTAGTATTAAAAGATGTTATTTGATTTAGAGTTCACAGAAAACAATTTTCCAAATAGTTCTTTATGATATGGATAGACTGATAGTATACTCACTAATAAACCATGCCTAGTTTTAGCTAAAATAAGTCTTTTCTAGGTATTAATTTTTTCTTTTACAATTCAGCTTCCATTTCTGCAACCTATAATTCTGGAGGACTTACTAGTACAAAGTATTTTTCCTAAGTTTCTTTCATTTGTTTCATTAACTTAGTCACTCATGAAAATGTTTATTGTGGCAGGCAGCCTTCTAAAATGGCCACTAGTAATCCCTGCCTCCTGGTATTCATGCCCTTATCCAAACCCCTTCCCTACATGTGGGCTGGACCTAGTGAGGTGCTTCTAATAAATAGGATACAGCAAAAACCGATTGGATGTCATTTCCAAAATTAGCTTACTAAAACACTCTAGCTTCTACCCTCACTCTCTCCCCTTGTTGTGATCTCCCCTAACAGAGTGGCCCATGTGGCAAAGAACTGAGGGAAGCCTCTGGTCAACAGGTCATCAGGAACTAATGTCCTAGGTCCAACTGCCAGCAAAGAACTGAGGTCAACAGCCACCTGAATAAGCCTGGAAGTGAGTGATTCCTCCTGTCGGGACCCTTGAGAGAGCTGCAGCCCCAGCCACAACGCTGACTGCAGCCTTGTATCAGGAGATCCTGAATCAGAGGACCCAGCTGAGCTGTACCTAGATTCCTTATCCATAGAAATCTGTGAGATATAAATGTCGGTAAGTAGCTAAGTTCCGGGTAATTTGTTATGCAGCAGTAGGTAACTAATATATGTATTTATACTATAATATTTCAAGTATTGAGGCCAGGCACAGGTGGCTCACGCCTGTAATCTCAGCACTTTGGGAGGCTGAGGCAGGTGGATCGCTTGAGGCCAGGAGTTTGAGACCAGCCTGGTCAACATGGCAGAACCCCATCTCTACTAAAATAGAAAAATTAGCTGGATGTGGTGGTGCGTGCCTATAATCCCAGCTACTCAAGAGGCTGAGGCATGAGAATCGCTTGAATCCAAGAGACGGAGGTTGCAGTAAGCTGAGATTGTGCCACTGCACTCCAGCCTGGGCGACACAGCAAGACTGTCTCAAAAAAATAAAAATAAAAAAATACTGAGATGCCATTCTTCACTACAGAAAATCTGGTGCCCATAATGGGAGGATGGCTTCTTTGATACACCTAGCTCTGGGCAACTGAATCTTTATATATTACATAGAAGTTATGGCACTCAGTTAATTCACACTGGACTGCAACAAATCATCCATTAGGTTACAGCACATTCAGAGTGGGACAAGCTGTCCTTTGTTTGAGGTTACTGAAGTAAATAATACTTGATTTGCCCTTCACTTATCATTCTAATACAACTGTGCTAGTTGGTGTTTCACTTCTTTGTGATGTTCATTTTAATGTGTGCTTATTCCTGTTACACAGTTTACTCTGTGCTCTTTCCTTACTACTTCTCCTACTGCTTTCCCTCTACTTCCTGCCCTGGTGCTGGTAAGACACTGGTTTTAAGAGTCATAGTCAGGCAGTAGTATTATTGCCCCTTTCATCCTGTGTCTCCACTGCCTTTTACCAGCCAGAGCTGTTACTTCTTGCGTAATGATCAGATCTGTGGCTCTTTGAATAACTGCTCCGGGAACAGCTTACTGCAGTATTCTCAAAGCACAGTCTCTATACCAATAGTGGGCTCTGTCAGTCTATTGTATGCTCTACAGGTAGCCTGGTATAATCATAAACTTAAAAGGTAATTATGATTTTTCACAGAAACCCTGCTGTTCTTATGTAATAAATAATTCAAACTCATAAAAATTGTTTTAACTCATAAAAGCAGAGATGAAAATAATTCACAGATGCCAGAATTCAAAATAATGCTGTGAAAGCAAACAATAAACAAGGCTTCAATGGAATGTGGAATGTCAATCAGTATGAACTGGGTAAATGAATTTATAACTGTGATGTCTATGCCAAGTACCTAGAAAAGTATGAATGAGAAGCGTAGTAATAAGTATCTGAAAACTGTTTTTTAACAGTTTTTTACATTTTACATTTTGCTTGTTTCACAAACAAAAGGATGTTCTTTAACATCCTTTTGCTTCTAGTGGCCAGTGTTACCTAGTGTAATCTTTTTTCAAATAGTGGCATGAAACATCAAAGTTTTTGAATAATTTTCAACATGAAAGTACCTCTCTGCCAAACAAAGTAAGGTTTTATAAAACAAGGGCAAAATATGCTCTTCTGTGTAAACTGATGAATTATTTCACAAAAAAAGAAGGTTAAAACTACAAAAGCATCATTTATAGTTGTATTTACAATATAAAAACATTATAAAGAAGGTTTTTAAAAAATTCACAAAGTTCATGATATGTTTGACGAGGAAGCAGAAGGCATGAAATTCTGTTAACATATGATGTGGCCGGGTATTTTATAATGCTGATAGCATGCAATGTAGAAGAGTTAACACTATTACATGGTAACAGGTATTTTTGCTTTACAGTTGGAACAAAACACAAATGTGAAAAAAAAATCAATCAGCTTGTTATGTAATTACAGACAATCTATTTGAGAAAGACGTGAACAATGACTTCTGTTTTATCACTTACATCAAAACTGAAAGAAAAGTTATTTCTAGTAGAGTGAAACTATAACATAAACTGAACTACAATATCATTGGAAAAGATGAGCTGGAATCACAACTTTACCTGTGTAGATACAAAGTTATAGAAGAGGTTGCAAAAGATTGCCTAATCTTCATGTTGCTTTAAACCTCAGTATGTAATTGGCAATCAAAAATACACTTCCCACACTCAATGAGGTCAGAACGGTTGTAATGTTTTTTCCACAGAAAGAAAACATTATTGAATATATTGAATTTTCCATCTTAATATAAACTGGCTATTGCAGGAAAAAGAATTTACATTTCAAGAAACAGAAAGCATCCTAAATGATCATATATAATTTCTAGACCACTGCTCAAGTGATATCCATATCAGGACATACAATGAAAATCTTGAATAGCATGAACACAAGAGCACATCTCATTTTATTGTGCATTACTTTATTACTTTTTACAAATTGAAGGTTTGTGGCAATCCTGTGCTCAGCAAGGCTATTGGCGCCATTTTTCCAACAGCATGTAAAAGTTGTCTCTGTGTCGCATTTTGGTAATTCATAAAATGTTTTCGTTATTATTATATCTGTTATGGTGATCTATGATTGGTGATCTTTGATGTTACTGCTGTCATTGTTTTGAGGAGCCAAGGCCCACACCTGTATATGACAGTCAACTAAATTGGTAAGTGTTTGTGTTCTGGCTGCTCCACTGACCAGCTGTTCCCTGTCTCTCCTTCTCCTTGAGCCTCCCTCTTCCCTGAGACACAATAATATTAAAATTTGGCCAATCAATAACTCAACAATGGTGTCTAATAATTGTTCAGGTGCGAGGAAGAGGCATACATCTCTCACTTTAAATCAAAAGCTAGAAATGATTAAGCTTAGTGAGGAAGGCATGTCAAAAGCCGAGACAGACCAAAAGCTAGGCCTTTTGTGCCAGTTAGCTAAGATGTGACTATAAAGAAAAGCTGTCGAAGGAAATTTAGAATGGTACTCCAGGGAACACACAAATGATAAGGAAGCAAAACAGCCTTACTACTGGGATATGGAGAAAAGTTTCAGCTTGGATAGAAGATCAAACCAGTCACAACATTTCATTAAACCAAAGCCTAATCCACAGCAAGACCCTAACTCCATTCCATTCTATGAAGGCTGAAAGAGGTGAGGAAGCTGCAGAAAAGTCAAGCCACCTTCACATGAAAAAATTACAAAGTGAAGCAGCAAGTGCTTATATAAAAACTGCATCAAGTTATACAGAAGATCTAGCTAAGAGAGTTGATAGAGGTGGCTACACTAAACAACAGATTTTCAATGTAGACAAAAAAGCATTATTGAAAGAAGATGCCATCTAGGACTTTCAGAGCTAGAGACGAAAAGTCAATGCCTTGATTCAAAGCTTCAAAGGACAGGCTGACTCTCTTGTTAGGGGCTAATGCAGTTGGTAACTTTTAAGGTGAAGCCAATGCTCACTGACCATTCCAAAATTCCTAGACCCTTTGAAATTATGCTAAATATACTCTGCCTGTGCTCTATAAATGAAACAACAAAGCCTGGATGATAGCACATCTGTTTACAGCATAGTGTACTGAATTTAAAATATTCAGCTCACCGTTAAGACCTGAATTTAAAATATTTAGCTCACTGTTTAAGCTCACTATTGAGACCTATGCTCAGATAAAAAGATTCCTTTCAAAATATTACTGCTCTTTAATAATGCACCTGGTCACCCAAGAGCTCTAAGGGACATGTACAAGGAGATTAATGTTTTCATGCCTGCTAACACAGCATCCATTCTGCAGCCCCATAGATCCAGGAGTAATTTCAACTTTAAAGACTTATTATTATTATTACTGTTTTTGAGACAGAGTCTTGCTCTGTCACCCAGGCTGGAGTGCAGTGGTGCCATCTCGGCTCACTGCAACCTCCATCTCCCAGGTTCAAGCGATTCTCCTGCCTCAGTCTCCTGAGTAGCTGGGACTACAGGCATGTGCCACCACGCCTGGCTAATTTTTATATTTTTAGTAGAGACAGGGTTTCACCATGTTGACCGCACTGGTCTCAAACTCCTGACCTCAGGTGATTGACTCACCGCAGCCTCTCAAAGTGCCGGGATTACAGGCATGAACCACCACGCCCGACCCTCAAGTCTCATTATATTAGAAATACATTTCATAAGGCTATAGCTGCCAGATAGTGTGATTCCTTGGATGGATCTCGGCAAAGTAGATTGAAACCTTCTGGAAAGGCTTCGCCATTCTAGATGTCATTAAGAACATTTGTGACTCAGGGAAGGAGGTCTAAATATCAACATGAACAGGAGTTTGGTGGAAGTTGATGCCAATTATCATGGATGACTGAATGGTTCAAGATTTCAGTGGAGGAAGTAACAGCAGATGTGGTAGAAATAGCAAGAGAACTAGAATTAGGCCGGTGTGGTGGCTTACGCCTATAATCCCAACACTTTGGGAGGCCGAGGAGGGCAGATCACTTAAGCTCACAAGTTCAAGGCCAGATCTGGCCAATATGGCGCAACCCTGTCTCTACCAAAAATGCAAAAAATTAGCTGGGCTTGGTGGCGCATGGCTGTAGACCTAGCTACTTGGGAAGCTGAGGTAGGAGGATGGCTTGAGCCTGGGAGGCAAAGGCTGCAGTGGGCCAAGATCGCGCCACTGCACTCCAGCCTGGGCAACAGAGCCAGACTTTGTCGCAAACAAACAAACAAACAAACAAACAAAAAAACAGAACTAGAATTAGTGGAACAAGAAGATGTGACTGAATTGCTGCAATCTCATGACCAAGCTTTCACAGATGAGGAGTTGCTTATTACAGATAAACACACAAAGTGGTTTCTTGATATGGAATCTACTCCTGGTGAAGATGCTGTGAACACAGTTTAAATGACAACAAAGGATTTAGAATATTACATAAACTTAATTGATAAAGAAGCAACAGGGCTTGAGAGGACTGGCTTAAATTTTGAAAGAAGTTTTGCTGTGAGTAAAATGCTATGCAACAGCACTGCATGCTACAGATGAATCTTTCATGAAAGGAAGAGTTAATCAATGTGGAAAACTTTATTGTCTTAATTTTAAAAATTGCTACAGCCACCCCAACCTTCAACAATCACCAACATGATCACTCAGCAGCCATTAACATCAAGACAAGACCCTCCACCAGCAAAAAGATTACAACTAGCTGAAAGCTCAGATGGTCATTTGAATTTTTTAGCTATATTTTAAATTAAGGTATATACATTGTTGTTTTTGGATATAATGCTATTATTACACATTTAACAAACTACAGAATGGTGTAAACATAACTTTTATATGAACTAGGAAACCAAAAACTTCGTATGACTTGCTTTGTTGTGATATTTGCTTTACTGCAATGTTCTAGATATAGGGCACAATACAATAAATTTATTTTTTAATTTTAAAAAGTCAGGCTGGGCCGGGCACAGTGGCTCACGCCTGTAATCCCAACACTCTGGGGAGTCCGAAGCAGGTGGGTAATCTGAGGTCAGGAGTTCGAGACCAGCCTGACCAACGTGGTGAAACCCCTAAAATACAAAATTAGCTAGGCATGGTGGTACATGCCTATAATCCCAGCTACTCAGGAGGCTGAGGCAAGAGAATTGCTTGAACCCAGGAGGCAGAGGTTGCAGTGGCTGAGATTGCGCCACTGTACTCCAGCCTGGGCACCAGAGCCAAACTCTGTCTCAAAAAAAAAAAAAAAAAAAAAAGGCTGGGCTTGGTGGCTCAGGCCTGTAATCCCAGAACTTTGGGAGGCAGAGGCAGGAGCTTGAACCTGGGAGGCGGAGGTTACAGTGAGTCAAGATGGTGTCACGGCACTCCAGCCTAGGTGACCGAGCAAAAACTCCAACTCAAAATAAATAAATAAATAAACAAAAATAAATAAAAATCAAATATGGTATATAAGGGTTGATCAAGAAAATAACTTTCCTGAGGGGGGCAGAGGGGTGGATCACCTGAGGTCAGGAGTTTGAGATCAGCGTGACCAACGTGGTGAAACCCCGTCTCTACTAAAAATACAAAAATTAGCTGGGCATAGTGGCGGGTGCCTGTAATCCCAAGCTACTTGGAAGGCTGTGAAAGGAGAATCGCTCGAACCCAGGAGGTGGAGGTTGCGGTGAGCTGAGATCATGCCATTGCACTCTAGCATGGGTGACAAAAGCAAGACTCCATCTCAAAAAGGAAAAAAAGAAAGAAAAAAAGAAAAGAAATTAACTTTCCCACTAGGAGTAACCAGGAAGCAGATTAGTATTAAATTTGCCAATGCCTCAATTTGGAATATTCAAACTGTTAGCATTTTAGAGGGACAAAGCTCATCAAGGGTCTGAGGGTAAAAGAAACACCCATCAGTAGGAAATTATCCTTAATTTCTGGATCAAGTTCAATATGAATATTCAGAATTATCTGAGCAAGCCATTGCTTGCCACCAATTCAGCGAACTATAATTTTAAATTAGCATAGGAGGTAGTAGAAATTGAGAGGAAATGAAACATACTAAATGGGGAACTTGATATATATAGTTCAAGCTCATGAGCCCTACATAGAACCTAATAATACAATATTGGTTTCACAGATTTGGTTTATTATGAATAATGATTATTTTAAGTACTAATTATTATTACTATTTTATATTTTTATTTATTTATTATTCTATTTATTTACTGATTGACTGACCAACAGCGTTTTGCTGTGTCACCCAGGCTGGAGTGCAGTGGCACAATCATAGTTCACTGTGACCTCAAACTCCTGGGCTCAAGCAATCCTCCCACCTCAGCCTTCCAAATAACTGGTACTACAGGTGCTCACTACCATGCCCAGCCAATTTTTAATAAAATTTTTGTAGAGATGGGGTTCTGTTATGTTGCCCAGGCTGGTTTCAAACTCCTGGCCTCAAGCCATCCTCCTGCCTTGGCCTCCCAAAATGCTGGGATTACAGCCCACCTTGTTTTTATTATTGAAGATGTAATCTTTTTTTTTTTAAACTTACAAAAATTAGTGGTGTGCTTCTATATTCTTTGTGTTCCAAGAATACTAAAGATTGAGATACAATGGCATAACGTTTAAGAGCTTGGCTCTGAAGTCAGATTGCCTGAATTCAAATCCTACTCTGATACTTACGTAAAAATCCTCATTTCTCTTTTATAAAACAGTAATTCTGAGGAGTAAAATATATATAGCATGAAAATACCTTAATATATTGTCTTACAAATAAGTATTAATAAATAATAACTATTTGTTCTTATTCTTTGAGGCTCACATCTCTTGCATTCATGCCTTTGGCCTTCCCACACTGAATATGGCTGACTTGTATAACCAGGACACTGCAGAAATTACAAAGTGGGATTTCTGGGGCTAAGTCATAAAAGACATTGTGACTTTCATCCTGTTTACTCCTGGATCATTCACTCTGGGGGAAGCCAGCTCTTATGTCATGGGGACACTCAAGCAGCCCTATGAGCCGTCTTGGAAGAAAATGTTCCAGCTGAGTCAAGCCTTCAGGTAACTGCAGCCTCAGCTGTTATCTTAGTTGCACCCTCAGGAGAAACCCAGAGCCAGAACCACCCAGCTAAGCTGCTCCCAAATTCCTGACTCACAGGAACTATGAGAAAATAAATGTTTTGGAGTAGTTTGTCACACAAAAATAGGTAATAAATCTGTTTACCAAAAACATGTGAAAAGACAGTGGTTTCTGGCACGGGAAAGGGGAATACAGAAGAGAGAAAAAGGGAGAGGAATGGGAATAGAGCTAATCAAATGAATAGAATAAATCAATGTATTCAAAAATATTTTAGTCTGTCATTATTTCTTGGTTTCTAAGATCATTTAATTATCTTCTTTGTCCTTAGCTATATGCTCTGAACTTTGAAATATATATATTTTGCTTTTTTTTTTTTTTTTTTTAGAGACAGAGTCTTACTCTGTCACCCAGGCTGGAGTGCAGTGGTACAATCTTGGCTCACTGCAAACTCCACCTCTCGGGCTCAAGCAATTCTCATGCCTCAGCCTCCTGAGTAGCTGGGATTACAGGCATGCACTACCATGCCCACTAATTTTTATATTTTTAGTAGAGACAGGGTTTCGCCATGTTTGCCAGGCTAGTCTCAAACTCCTGGCCACATGTAGATCCACCTACCTATGCCTCCCAAAGTGCTGGGATTATAGGCGTGAGCCACAGTGCCCAGTCAGAATTTTTTTTTTTAATTTAAAAAATGTTCTAAGTATTCACATGTACAATTTTATTATGTAATAACCTATTTACAAAAAAAAAGCAAAAGTTCACTGTTGAGACGCTATTCACTTCAAAGCTTCTATTACATGCAAGGCACTGTGCTAAATGCAAGAGGAGACTAAAAGATGAAGATAGATGGTTCTTATCTCATCATGGAGTCTCAATTTGGTAGGGAAAACAGACATGATGAATCCAGTAATGACTCAGAACGTAGTATACTTTCAAGCATTTGTTCAATAAATATGAGAAGTAGGTAATGCTGAGACTATACCTACAACTGGGAGAATCAGAGTGGAAATGTGTCAGGAAAGCCTTCCTGTAGAGATGATTTTTAAACTGAGCTTAGAGTGTGTGTAGAATTTCAACAGATGGAGCTGAAAAGCAGGGCAATTAAGGTAGAGAGAGCACTATGAGCAAAGTCACCATCTCAAGAAGATGTATAAAATTTCCAAATCTTTTTCAGAAAACCTGCTAGTAAATAATCAACTACAACTGCATACTCAGATTATAACAAGAGATAAGCTGGAAAGGCAAGTTAGAGGCAGGATATGGAGAATTCTGATTGATATATTAACTGGTCTGGAGCCTGGGATTTGAATCAGAAAGAACAGGCAGTTATCTATTACAAGTTCAATCTTTATTAGGATTTTTTAATGCTACTCTGTTTTTGCAGATATTTGAAATGTACTATAATTAAAGGTTTAAAACACTGAATCCATTTTCAAATCCACAACGATTACAATGCAAGGGCATCAGGGACAGACTGGGAGCAAGGAGAACCATTAGGGGCCTGAGAGCATGATGATGCACAGTAGCAGAAATGTGAAAGTTTGCCAGTTAGACTTGTGTATATGTATATGTGACTGTGCATAGGTACACACACATATATTGTCTATATGTATCTGATGTTTATGATACATACATTATAGATAAAACATATAGTATATGCCTTTTTTGCAGCAAATACAAAATCTTAGGAAATTTTACATTTCTGATTAGTATTAATTAGTATTAATTAAATTAGTATTAATACTAATATTAGATGGGGTTTCATAAGTACCAATTGATGGTGTATGCTACAGATAACATGTATCAGAAGAAAATTAGTCTAAGACAAGCACATTTTGTTAATAATTCACATAAAAATGATCAGCACAAGAAAACAGGTCAATAGCGTATGTATTCACTACAGCATATACTTTCTAAATAGCAAAAGCAGCTACGTTTAATTCTGAAAGGGTTGAAGACAAATTGTAATCAAAATATGCTGTTTTAATATATTATACAATGCCATAACAATTTACTTTTGTCGTTTTATTAAGATTGTTTTTGCTGGATGTGGTGGCTTACGTCTGTAATCCCAGCACTTTGAGAGGCTAAGGCCAAAGGATTACTTGAAGCCAGGAGTTTGATTCCAGCCTGGGCAACACAGCAAGACCACATCTCTACAAAAAATTTTAGAAATGAGCTGGGCATGGTGGCATGAGCCTGTAGTCCTAGATACTTTGGAAGTTGAGGAAGGATGATCTCTTGAGCCTGGGAAGCAGAAGGTGCAGTGAGCTGTGACAGCACCATGGCACTCCACCCTGGGCAACAGAGTGAGTGCAACCGTCTCAAAAAAATAAACAATAAAATGAAAAAGAATTGTTAATACTGTTTATATCTATAGTTACTTCTTTTTCATAATCCTAGTTTTGCCCTTTGTTAAAAAAAGATTGCTAGCTAGCCTTACTTTTAAAGGACAAGTTCTGTTTTACTTAACTATTTTTTCTGTTTTCTAATCCATTATTTACTATTCCTTATCTTCACCAATTACTTTTTCCAGCTTTCCTTAGGTTTATTTTGTTATTCTTGTATTAAATTCTTTTGTTGAGTGTTTGTTTTCATTTTCTAGTAATGAAATTCTTAGAAATAATTTTATTTGTATCCTGTATGTTATTCATGTCTTTCATTTTTATTGTAATTATTTTCTACTACAGTTGCCAGTCTGCAGTATCTTTAGACCTTTGACTTAAGTTTTTTCTTTTTTCAGGGACAATAATTTTACATTTTTAAATTCAAGTAATTGAGGTTTTTGTTTTGGGATTTGGAAAGGTTTGGTTTCTGGCTCTCCCTTTTGTTATTAACCTAAAATTTCATTGTAGAGTATGTGGTTAATAATATTTCTACTTTTTAGTTTTTTTTTCAGCTTTCTTTATAATACAATGTAACCTACTTAACAATGTTTAAAAATATAACCTATTTTAAAAAATGTTCTGAGGGGAATTTAAAAGTATTTTTTTCTCTTTACAACAACAGAATGATATATTTATTACATCAGCCTTATATATCAGACAGGCAAATTATATGACTCAGATTCTTTATATCATATTTCTTTATCACTTTGATGCAGCAAGGACTGAAAAATGTTTTTAAAGTCTACCATTGCTGTTAATGTTTAAAGTACTCCCATTACTGTCTCTCTCTTCTTCCCTGAATTTATATCGTTTTCACTCTAAACACTTTTGTGCTTCATCTTTAAAAGGTAAAGATCTGTGGCCCTCTTTATATTAGAAACTATACCCTAGATTATCAGTGTCTCTTTTTCTCACCTGATGTCTACTGCTTTTAATTCAACTTTTTCTAATAATATGAATCCACTGACTTTTTTTTTGCTTATATTTGCCTAGTATCTTGTTTTGACCATCCATTTACTTCCAATCCCCCTAGTAATTTTGTTCTAGTGTGTTTCTAAACACTAAGTGCATAGGTGGGCTTTGTATTTAATCTAATGTAAATCTTGCTTAATAGCTAAGCTATATCATGGGGCCTTTATACTTTTAACAAGCATGTTTGGTCTTGTTTTCATGTTTTCTCTGAATTTTTCCTTGTTTTCCTTCTTTTGCTATACACTTATTTTACACTGAGCACCTACTATGTGCCAAGCATCACACTTAGTGTTAGGAATACAAGGGTAACAAAAAAATTAGCTACATATATATAATTACAAACTGTGGTGTTCATTTTTCCCCACCCTGCCCAATACCATGAGAGGTTTTAACAGGAGTGGGGGTGAATAAGAATCAAGAAAGATTTGGCCATGCACAGTGGCTCATGCCTGTAATCCCAGCAGTTTGGGAGGCTGAGGTAGGAGGATCATTTGAGGTCAGGAGTGTTCAAGACCAGCCTGGTCAACATGGTGAAACCCTGTCTCTACTAAAAATACAAAAATTAGCCAGACGTGCTCACTTGAACCCAGGAGGAGGAGGCTGCAGTGACCCAAGATCGTGCCTCTGCACTCCAGCCTGGGCAACAGAGCAAGACTCCATCTCAAAAAAAAAAAACAAAACATACAATTAGATTTAAATAATACAAAAAGTGTTATAGAAACTGAAAGAAATTTAGTAAGGCTGGAGAATATTGAATATGGAGAAAAATTACATGAGATAAAACTTGAGAGATAGGCAGACCAGGCCAAGAAGGGCTTTATGAGCCATGTTAAAGAACCTAGATTTTGGCTGAGCATCGTGGCACATGCCTGTAATCCCAACAGTTTGGGAAGCTGAGGCAGGAGGATCTCCTGAGCCCAGGAGATCAAGACCAGCCTGGGCAACACAGCAAGACCTCATCTCCACACACACACACAAAAATTAGTTGGGCATGGTGGCACACACCTGTGAACCCACCTACTCAGGAGGCTGAGTTGATAGGATCACTTGAGCCTGGGAGGTCAAGGCTGCAGTGAGCTGTGATCGTGCCACTGCACTCTAGCCTGGGCAACACAGTGAGACCCTGTCTCAAACAAAACAAAACAAAACAACACAACCTGGATTTTATTCTAGGTACAATAAGTATCTTGAAATACTTTTAAGGATGTTAAGTGACTTCCATTATATTTTAATTTTTAAAACACATATGGAATTGGAGAGACTAAGTAGCACACTATTAGAGTAGCCCAGAAAAGAGATGGTGGCTTAGGGTAGCTGACAAATGGTAGAGATAGAAGTGAATGGATTTAAAGATTTTGGTCAAGGTAGTACTATCAGTTTTCCTCTTCCCCTACCCAATTTTGGAGTTACATAGTTTACATCTAGTTCTTTGCAAAGTTACTTTTAAGCATATAGTCACACGTCGCATAACAACATTTTGGTCAACAACAAACCACATATGTGACACTGGTTCCCTAAGATAATGAAGCTGACAAATACTTATCACCTAGTGAAGTAGCTGTCATAACATCACATAGTACTCATGTGTTTGCAGTGATGCTGATATAAACAAACCTATTGTGCTGCCTGTCATATAAAAGTATAGCACCTACCGGCCGGGCACGGTGGCTCACACCTGTAATCCCAGCACTTTGGGTGGCCGAGGGGGGGCAGATCACTAGAGGCCAGGAGTTTGAGACCAGCCTGGCCAACATGGTGAAACCCTGTCTCTCCTAAAAATACAAAAATTAGCCGGGTGTGGTGGTGCATGCCTGTAATCCCACCTACTCGGGAGGCTGAGGCAGGCGAATCACTTGAACTGGGGAGGCGGAGGCTGCAGTGAACCGAGATTGCGCTGCTGCACCCCAGCCTGGGCGACAGAGTAAATGAGACTCCCTCTCAAAAAAAAAAAAAAAATAGCACATGCAATTACGTATAGTCCATAAAACTTGACAATGATAATAAATGACTGTTACTAGTTTATGTATTTACTATATTTTTTATTGCTATTTCAGAGTGTATTCCTTGTATTTATAACTTTAAGCAACCTCAGGCAGGCCCTCAGGAGGTATTCCTGAAGGCATTGTTGTTTTTGGTTTTTGTTGAGACAGGATCTCACTCTGTCACTCAGGCTAGAATCCAATGGTGTGATCATTGTTCACTGCAGCTGCCTTGACCTCCTGGGCTCAAGTGATCCTCCCACCTCAGCCTCCTGAGTAGCTAGGACTACAGATGCATGAACACCCAGCTAATTTTTTTGTATTTTTGTGGAGACAGGGTTTTGCCCTGTTGCCCAGGCTGGTTTCCAACTCCTGGGCTCAAGTGATCTGCCTGCATCGGCCTCCCAAAATGCTATGATTACAGGCATGAGCCACCATGTCTGACCAGCCATTGTTATCACAGCAGATGACGGCTCCATGCATGTTATTACTCCTGAAGACCTTCCAGTGGGACAAGGCAGAGGAAGAAGACAGTGATATTTATGGACCTGACTCTGTATGCCTAGGCTAATGTATGTGTCTGTGTCTTCATTTTTAACAAACAGTTTAAAAAGTAATAAAGTAAAAAAATTTTTGAATGGAGAAAGCACACAGAATAAGGATATAAAGAAAGAAAATACCTGTATTTTTGTACTGTTGTATAATGAGTTTGCATTTTAAGCTAAGTGTCACTACAAAAGAGTGAAAACATTAAAAAAATTAATACTAAGCTCATAAAGTAAAAACATTACATTAAGCTAAGGTTAACTTATTGCTGAAGAAATAAAATTTTTAAAATAAATTTAGTGTAGCCTAAGTGTACAGTGTTTATAAAATCTACAGTGGCATACAGTAATTTCCTAGGCCTTCCTTCACATTCATTCACTACTCACTCACTCACCCAGAGCAACCTCCAGCCTTGCAAGCTCTATGATACAAGTTGTGAAGTAAAATAAATCTAAGCCGGCCAGGCAGGATGGCTCACGCCTGTAATCCTAACAGTTCGGGAGGCTGAGACAGGCAGATCACCTGAGGTCAGGAGTTCGAGACCAGTCTGGCCAACACGGTGAAAACCCGTCTCTACTAAAAAAACAAAAATCAGCCAGGTGTGGTGGCAAGCGCCTGTAATCCCAGCTACTTAGGAGGTGGAGGCAGGAGAATCACCTGAAACCAGGAAGCAGAGGTTTCAGTGAGCTGAGATTGTGCCACTGCACAATAAATAAATAAATAAATCTAAGCCATTCTTATATATCTAATTATGTCCTATAATATTCTAAATCAGTAACATAAAAATTTTTTGGTGTTGTACAGTTACTCACTCACTTAATAAACATTTACTAAATACTACCTATGGTCCAGGCCCTACATTACAGGTATATGGAAATATCCCCTCATGAAATATACATTCTGGTAAAAACATGCAAACATACATAAGTTCAATTTTGCATAAGTTTGAGATGTCTAGAAGACACACAAATGAAGCTGTGTAACTCTCTAATAGTTCACATGTAAATAAATGAGATGATCACGCCTAGCTTACTGACAACACTTTATAGACATACATCAAACATGTATACATGGTACATCAAGATCTTCTAAACTCCAATATTAGTTAAAATATTATACCAACAGGTAGTTTTAATATGATAGATACGGTTTCAGCCCTTACAGTTCAGCGTGAGAAACAAGAAACATACACAAGCAATTAAAGTACATCCACTAAGTACTATTATGGGAGAAGTCCAAAATGGATAAAGAAATCTAGAGAGAGAGAAAAACTCCTGGCTAGATGTCCAAGTTCTCTGTAAATGAGGAACAATATCCAAGAAAGTAATAAAGGTTTGACTCATGAATCGATCTAATCAATGGATATATTATTTTAGCTGGCAATATACTATCACGTAAAGCACAGGTTACGGACAAATTTTAATATCTTAAGAATGAAATTGTGGCATTAAACATAACTTCAATTTAAAGTAACATACAGGAAACAAATGCCAAATACTAAAACAAGATTTCTAAAAAGTATTACCAGAATTTAAAGAAGGAAAAGGTAAGTAGATACTGAAACAGGCCAGGGAAAAAAGTATCTTGTAAGGGACAGTCCCCTAGTACAAGCTTAGAGGATGAACAAGAGTTGAAAGGATGAAAACAATATTCCGTAAAATAGAAACCACATAGGCTCAGAATTAATGATTATTAAAAGAGCTTAGAGAAATGAGTCATCCACTCAATAAATATTTACAATGTACCTATTTTATGATGGGCATTAGAAATCAAAGGTGAAGACACAGTTTTGCCCTCAAAAAGGCTACAGAACACTGTAGAGAATAGACCATCGAACCAGTCATGGTGTGTTGAGACTGGGTTAAATTCAGGCAGCTATGGAAATACAGAGGATGGGTACCTAAGCAGATCCTACGGGAGCACAGAAGGCTTTCTGATTAAATTAAGAATTGAAATGAATAGAAATTAACTAAACTGGTGGTGGGGAAGAGTGGAAGGCAGGAGTTGCGGGGGCAGAGACAGAGAATGGGAGGACAGGCCAGGCACAGTGGCTCATACCTGTAATCCCAGCACTTTGGGAGGCCGAGGTGGGTGGATCACCTGAGGTCAGGAGTTGGAGACCAGCCTGGCCAACATGGTGAAACCCCATCTCTACTAAAGACACAAAAATTAGCAGGGTGTGGTGGCACATGCCTGTAATCCCAGCAACTCAGGAGGCTGAAGCAGAAGAACTGCTTGAGCCCAAGAGGTGGAGGTTGCAGTAAGGTGAGCCGAGATCACGCCACTGCACTCCAGCCTGGGCGACAGAGCAAGAATCCATCTGGAAAAAAAAAAAAAAAAAAAAAAAAGAGCGGGAGGACAGGCAAAACAGCATCCAGAGATTAGAGTGTGTGTAAAGGCCAGAAAGAACAGAGCACATCACCTATAAGTGGGTGGCAAATATGGCTGGGACATGACTTTATACAGGTTAATGGAAAGAGGTAAGGCTGAAGAAATAAACAGGAACCAGTACATGAAACGATTTGCAAGCCATGTTAAGAAGTGTGGACCATGTTAAAGAAGATGTCCCTTTGGCTATACCAGAAGTTTCATAATAAAGAAAATAAATAAAGTTTATAGTAGTGAGGGACCAGATTATCTAGAACAAGAGTTGCAAGTTGAATTATCTACAGAGACTAAATAAGTAATAAAAAGGAATAAAGAGGACCAGGGGTAAGAAAAACCCAAGAGGCAACAAGGACTGTGGAAAGCAAAAGCCCCAACTAAATGGTGCAAACTGTTGCAATGAACAAAGTGTTGCTACATCTTTCTTTTTAAAAAAGAAGTTGGAAATACAAAATTCCAAGTGAAAGCTCTTGATTTTTTAATGATAGCCATTAAATTTCTTTGAAACATGGTGCAGGCTAACATTGAAGGGTCTAAACAAAACAAGACTATGAGCAAACCGATACCACCAGTCATTTGATCCTGCTGAAGCTCAAAGACAAAGCTGATGAGTCTGACTGGGACCTCAAGGCAGTGAAGATTTAAACAGGAATGGAGAGTTACTAAAGATTTAAGGAGGGTATCAAGTAACCACCACCTGAGAAGGCAGTGTCTGTTTTGTTCACTTCTCAGAAAGTACTTCACATTTCATTGTCCTCAGTAAATGTTTAGTGATGAGCTTAAAAGGGGAATTTTTTCGAAAATTAGTGTCATGACAACAGATAGAACAAACTAGAGCGCAGAAAATACAAGTAAGAAAATTATTACAGTGCTCCTTTGCTCTAACCCCAGCCTGCTGTTTAGCAAGTTGTTAGCTTGTTAGCAGTCACTGCTGCCACGTGCTGCCCAGTGTTCTTTCTAGACTGGTGTTCTTCCTTTGGCTATGAACCCTCCTCTAACTCAAAAATTTGTCCAACACCCCAGTGACCACAATTAGCAGCTATCAGCTTTCACCTAGCTAGGGGCAATGAAGTTAAATAGAATGTGTGATCACAGTGGATGGGAGAATAAGAAGAATATTCTTTGCTTCACTTCAACTCCAAGCCAGGAACTTTATTGCTAATTCCATATCCTGCCACTGCTAATTCCACACTATATTCTCAGGGGTAAGTAACAGCTAAACGCTGCACTAACTACGTAGGGAAATGCCCAATAATAATATGTATGCCCAGATAACAGGGTTGGGAAGAACTAAAATTGCATGTGAGATTCCGCTGGAATAGAGGTGGTGTAACAAAGAGGTAGGCTGAGAAAAACTAGACACTCAGAATGGGTGTAGAAATTAAACAATAATCAACATAAGAAAACATGTAACCCGAAAAACCTCACAATCTTAACATTTATATAATCAGACTCCAAATAATCTTACCTTACAAGAGTAAAGTCTGAGAGGATTTGAAATAAATTATAGAAAATTTGGCTGCTATTGGGATACATGGATAACTAGTATTAGAAGTTATAAACTCAATTACTGAAAATAATCTTCTAAACTGTCCCTCATCTAGGACAGATGAAAGCAACAGACTATCAAAATATTAAGTCACATATGTTATACCTTGGTATACCAAACTAGATATGGTTCTACTTTGCAATATGTTCACTCTCAAATAGTATCTACTAGGAAAAAAAGTTAAAAAAAAATCAGTTAATTTGAAAACCTCTAAGCAATTAGTATCTAGGGAAAGCATATCCAATCCCCATAGAGTGAAATGTTGGGCCTCACCTTATAAAAAAAAAAGTCATCATGTAAGGAATCTTTCTGGTTCAGAGTAATGACTTTAAAGCAAAAAAGGAGAAGTTAGTGGCCTTTCCTTAGGGAGATGATGATAATTATAATCCTACCTACTCTAGCCCTCATAGAGGATCTGCTTTTTATCAGAGCTGATATTCTGATTAAAAACTTATCAGAATGAAGCCAGGCACAGTGGCTCATGCCTATAATCCCAGCACTTTGGAAGGCTGAGGCAGGTGGATCACTTTGAGCTCAGGAGTTTGAGACCAGCCTGAGCAACATGGTGAAACTCTGTCTCTACAAAAAAATACAAAAATTGGCCAAGTGTTGATGGCTGACACCTGTAATCCCAGCTACCTGGGAGGCTGAGGTGCAAGAATTGCTTGAGCCCAAGAAGCGCAGGTTGCAGTGAGCTGAGATCGTACCACTGCACTCCAGCCTGGGCAATACAGCGAGACCCTGTTTCAAAACAAAACAAAAGTTTATCAGAATGAAACATCACATTTTATCTAAAGAAATTAAGTAGATCTAGGTATCAGGGAACACTTATGGAAAGCCCTAAATGCTCTGTAAAATTCCGAAATGGAGAGCGGGGTTTCAGACTACAATTGATTAATAGTTAAGATAAGAGCCCACGAACAAGTGAAGCAATAAAAGAAGAAAAGACATCTGAGGTGCCTTTATTGAAGAGTAACAGCAGAATTACATAACACCAAAGTTTTCTCAAATGCTCTAAGTCTGTGCTGTTCAATACAGCAACTACATGTGGGTACTGAGCACTTAAATGTGGCTAGTTCAAGTTAAGATGTGCTGTAAATGTAAAATATACCCTGATTTTGAATACTTCATATGAAAAAAAGACTTTACAGTGCAATTCTAAACTAGCTGTGTTTAATTTCATGTGACTATTTTAACATTTTTGTTGAATTTAATATTGTTTGTTCCTTTAGTATTAATTTCCTCTTGGGTACATCTTCAACAAGATGATTTTAAGGTGAAAAACAGTGACAGCTTACCAGACTGTCCAAAAAAGAGAATGACCCAAATTTCTAGGCAGAGGCTTGAGCCAGCAGGATTGTTCCACCAAATGGTAACCAGGCTCTCTTCCTGTTATCTCTGGCAAAAGGGTTACAGAGTAAGAAAGAAACACTATGTACACATGGAACAGAATTTGACCAATAGTTTAAATCCATCAAACATAATAATATACTTTGTTTCAGGATTTACTCAATTACAAGTGTTAAAACTTTAAAAAGTGACATAAACATTGTTCACTATGATTTATTCAACTTTATCCTTTCTCAGTAATCTTTAGATATTTAAATTCACTCTGTTGGGAGGATCACACATACATGGGACTCCAATTTACCACCAAAAAATCCACACACCTTTCTCACTAGGATGAAATGAAATAGTACCATTACTTTTTATGCAGTACCATAACAGATTTCAAAAGGCACTGGAATTCTCACATTATAAACACTAATACCATCCAGAAACAGTCTATGGTCCTAACAGGAAACTTGAAGAAAATGTGGTTTTAGGGAATTAAGAATTTCAAAATACAGAACATAACAGTTTCACAAGCTAGCACTAACCAAAGACACAGAATACGGTAATACTGACTGAGAAAACCAACTGTACTATTCTAATATTAAAAGACTATTAGCTTAAAAAAAAAAGTATTAGACTCAGCACAGTTAAAAATAAAATAGATTTTTGGGACCCAACATTTCCTACAGATTAAAACATTACTCAAGTCAGAGTTCTTTGGCACATAACAATTCAAGGTTATACAGTGTTCTCAGTCAAATTACCTTAGTGCCTGACAACCAATGGAATCAATGGAAGACATCTCAAATAGTTTAAGGAGAACTTTTGGGTTAAGATGCTTTAATTTGAGAGTGACATCTGAAAGTGCATCAGTTATGCATTCAAACATCTCTAGGAGTTTACTAAGCAAAAGGCATTACACTAAATTTTGGAGACAAAATAGTGAAGAAGCTATAACATCTGACCATTACAGAGTTTACACTCTGGTAGTTTCGTAAAATAATAGAAGTGGGATCTTCATCAGTATTTCACTGCCTGCTTCCCGTGCTCCAAATCAAGACATTTCCTCCTTCTCCTATTTGTATTTGGAGGGAAAGTGACAAGGATAGAGAAACAAGGAAGAAAACAGATTTGCATGTATCAACTGAATCAAAATTATTTTCCTTGTCTCTTTATCTGTAAAGCTGAACTCCTTAAAGAGAGAGGCTGAAAACTATTCACCTTCTTATCCCTAGCACCTAGTGCTTATCTGCTGCTCCACTACATCAGAACCAAGCCAATCTCTTTTTCTACTATACACCAGTATCAAGAATAAATGAAGATTAAAACAACAAAGGTCAATCTTTCCAGTGCTTCTTTTTGCAAAAATAAGCACATACCTATATTCCATATAAGTATTTTAAAAGCTATACAGCAATATACATCTCCTTTAAGGAAAAGCATACAGTTCCATAAAGCTAGTTTCCTTTCACCATCATCAGTGTATCTCCCTCACCTTGCAATGACATCCAGAGGCAACCACTATCATAAGTGTGGGTAAATTAGATCACATTGTACACATCATTCTGAAATGAACTTTTCCTTATATTTATGAGGTATCTCAATATTCATACACATCAAAAGGTAGCATGGTATAGTGGACTCTGAAGCCAGACAACTTAGGTTCAAATCCTAACTTCAAATCTTGGCTCTGCTATTTACTAGCTATGAGAGTGAGTAGGTTATTTACCCCTCTATATTTCAGTATTCCCATACGCAAAATGAAGATAATGATAGTACCTCTTTCTGACTTTTCATGAGGATTACAACAGTTAAGATTCATAAAGGGCTTAAAACAATACAGAACCTAGACACAGAAAGTACAAGGAGTTTCTTAAGTTGAAATAAATACTAATTAATGATAATAGCCTAAATATAGATGTAGGTAATTCTCCATTGTATAACTATTCTATATCTTATTTATCCATGCCTTCCTACTGACAGGCATTTAGATTATTTTTTCCAAATGAATATCCATGTACATTCCTCCTTGGGCAACTGTTCAAGTTTCTCTAGACTAATACCTTGAATAGTAATCAACTGCTAGATAACAGAGTATGCACATTTTCAACTGTATGAGTAACATCCCATCCTAAGCTTTGCAATCTAATGGGTGAAAATTGATAGCTCGTACGTTTTCAACTGCACTTCCCTACAAATGAGACTAAGCATCTTTTCAGTTCATTAGCCATTCCAATTCCATTTCCTCTGCTGCTAATTGCCTTTATATCCATTGTTCATTTTATGTGTATCATCTTATTCTTTTGATCTTTATATAGTCTGGACACAAATCCACCGAATATTAAAGACATTGTGTGTGTCTCCTCCTAGGTATGTCGCATATCTTTTAGTTTGGTTTATAATGTCTTTTTTGTTGCTGTTGCTGTTGTTGTTGTTGAGCCCAGGCTGGAGGGCAGTGGCACAATCTTGGCTCACTGCAACCTCCACCTCCTGGATTCAAGCAATTCTAGTACCTCAGGTTTCTGAGTAGCTGGGACTACAAGCATGTGCCACCACGCCTGGCTAATTTTTGTATTTTTTGTAGAGACAGGGTTTCACCATGTTGATCAGGCTGGTCTTGCACTCCTGACCTCAAGTGAACCATCTGCCTTGGTCTCCCCAGATTGATGGCATTACAGGTATGAGTTACCACACCCAGCCTGATGTCTTTTATTAAACTCAAGTTTTCCTTTTTGAGGCAACAAAATCATTTACCCTTGATGTCTTTAACCTTGATGGTTCATTCTTCTTTTCCTGACTTGTTAAAGATCTTCCATATCCTAAAGTTGCATACTCATCTATACTATCCTCTTTTTAAAAAAGTTTTTCACGTGTATTATTTAATTCAACTGGAATTTATTTTCACGTATTGCTTGAAGCAGAGATCTAGTTTCCCCCCCCATCTAGAAAACCAATTCGACAGTCTACTTTTTCTCTCCCTCCCGCCAAGGAATGCCATTTCTAGCCTTCACCAATGTTCCAAATATGTATGAATCCATTTCTGAACTCTCTATTAGTTTGTCTTTTCCTGTACTAATACTATACTTCAAGTGCCATAATTTTTTTAACAGAGGTACTTACATAAAGCATACAAATACTGAATGTACAGCTTGACCTTTAAATACATATACTCCTGTGTGTGATCCAGCTCAAGCCAAACTATTAACATTCCTCATGCTCCAGGAGGCTCCCTCACGATCCTTACCAATCAGTACCATGCTTCCAAGATGACCACAATTCTCATCTCTATCACTATAGATTATTTCTACTTGTTTTTGAGCTTGCTATAAATGAAATCATACAATACGTAATCCTTGTGTCTCACTAATTTCATTCAACATTAAGTCTGGGAGAGAGTCATCCCATGTTATGCATAACAGTTTGTTCTTTGTCATTGTATATAGTATTTCAATCTAAATAGCATAACTTTTATTTCTATTTTTTGAGATGGAGTGTCGTTCTTGTCTCCCAGGTTGGAGTGCAATGGCATGATCTCGGCTCACTGCAACCTCCGCCTCCCAGGTTCAAGCAATTCTCCCACCTCAGCCTCCCAAGTAGCTGGGATTACAGGCACATGCCACCATGCCCAGCTAATTTTTGTTTTTAGTAGAGATGGGGTTTCACCATGTTGGCCAAGCTGGTCTTGAACTCCTGACCTAAGGTGATTCACCCGCCTCCGCCTCTCAAAGTGCTGAGATTACAGGCATGAGCCACCATGCCCGGGGCTAAATACCATAATTTTTAAATTCATCTTGACATCCAACAGAGCAAGTTCCTCCTCATTCTTTTTCTTCTTCCAAAACTATCTTGGTTATTCTTGAACCTTTAATTTTGCACAGGAAGGTCATTTTCCACAAAAAAAAAAAAAAATCCTACTGGGATTTTTGTCTGAAACTACATAAAATTCACAAAGTAACTTTTCAGTAATATTTATTACTAAATAAATTTTAACTTCCCACCCAAAAATATAGTATATCCTGCCTTTTATTCATGTCTAATTTTATGTCCTTCAATAAAATGTTGGGTACTATATTGAATTTCATATAAAGGAGATACTTTTTATTTTCTAATTGGCTATTGCTAGTTTGAATGCTGACCTTGTATCCAGCAACGCTGAATTATTTTATTAATACAAACAGTACTTTCATTTCTTTTAATATTTCTAGGGAGCATCTCATCTCATTTCTGTTCCTTTCCAATCCTTTTGGATTTTCTTTCTTTTTTGCGTATTGATAGAGATATATCTGTCTTACCCTTGGCTTTAATGAGAATGTTTCCAAAGTTTCACTATTAAGCATGATGCTTTCTATTTGAAAGGTAGCCTTTACTGTAAGAAAAAAAAAGCTCATTTCTGTTCATAGTGTAAGAGTGGTTTTTTAAAACTTTAATGGGTATTGAGTTTTAACATATAGTTTTACTAAATTTATCTAGATTTTTTCCTAAATTTTCTTATAAATTGATACAATTTTCAAATATTGAACTGTCCTAAACTCCTATCCCAATTAAAATTTTTATGTCTGTGTTCATAAGTAAGACTGAATGTAATATATTTTCCCTTGTATAGTCTTTCCATTCTAGATTTAAATGCTAAACTTGCCTGATAAACAGGTAGGGTAACTTTCCCTCTTTTTCTGTTCTCTGAGTCAATTTGCATAAGATTGGGATTAGCTGTTCCGCAAAAGCATATCTAAAATTATAATTACAAATATCACCATTAAAACTATTCCTTCATACTTGAGATGCTGAGGAGGGAAATTGCTTGAGGCCAGTTTGAAGCTGCAGTACACTATGATCATGCCTGTGAATAGCCACTGCACTGCACTACAGCCTCAACAGCACAGCAAGACCCCATCTCTAAAAAAACCAACCAAACAAAAAAAAATCTATCCCTTCTGACACCACTTCACACAAACTAGAAAGGCAATAATTAAAAAGATAATGAAAAGCATTGGTGACATTACAGAAAAGTGTGAACCTTTGTACACTGCTGGTGGGAAAATAAAATGATGCAGCCACTTTGGAAAAAAGTCTTGCAGTTCCCCAAAAGTTTAAACACGAAGTATCACACGACCCAGCAATTTCACTCCTAGGTATATATAGTCAGCGCTCCATATCCATGGGTTCTGCATCCATAGATTCAACCAATTGCAGATTGAAAATATGTGGGGGGAAAAGTTGTGCCTCTACTATGTACAGACTTTTTTCCCTTGTCATTATTCTCTAAGCAATACAATATAACAACTATTTACATAGCACTTGGGTTATATTAGATATTAAAAGTAATCTAGAGATCATGTAATGCATATGGGAGAATATGCATAGGTTATATGCAAATACTGTGGCATTTTTATGTCAGAGGCTTAAGCATCTGAGGGAAGTCCTGCAAACAACACAGGACTATAATAGTTCACAGAAGACTATTCATAATAATCAAAAAGTGCAAAACAATACAAACATCCATCAACTGATAAATGAATAAACAAAATGTGGTATATCCACATACGATGATGTATTATTATTTGGCTATAAAAAAGAATGAAGTGTACTGACATATGCTACAATGCGGATAAACCTTAAACACATGCTAAGTGAAAGAAATCAATCCCTCCCAAAACACATGTTGTATAATTCCATTTTATGAACTGTCCAGAACAGGCCAATCTACAGAAATAAAAGGAAGATTAGTAGATGCCTAAGGATAGAGGGTTAGGAGAGATGAAAATGTTCTAAAAATGACTATAGTAATTCTTGGCAAAACTCTGTAAAAATACTAAAACCTACTGAATTGTACATTTTAACCAGGTAAATAATATGGTATGTGAATATCTCAATAAAGTTGTTATTAAAAAAAAAAAAACCACCTATTCCTCTTGGGGAAATTTATTACAGCTTCAATTTCTTTAATGGTTTTTGGTTTCTTTTTCTTGTATAGACAAATTTGAAAAAAAAATTCACTAGAAAATAAAACTCATTTTTAAAATTTATATACATATAAATTATTAGCGATTTCTTATAATTTTAAAAATCACCATTATAGTTGTACTTATACCTCTTTTTTAAATTTGACTATCAGTCTCATCTATTTTTCTTGGGTATTTCCGGAATCAACTGCAAACAACCAGCTTTGACTGATCACGACATTGTTTTTCTTGCTGCTGCTTCTTCTCTTTTTTTTTTTTTTTGAGACGGAGTCTCGCTCTGTCACCCAGGCTGGAGTGCAGTGGCACAATCTCAGCTCACTGCAACCTCCACCTCCTGTGTTCAAGCAATTCTCTGCCTCAGCCTCCTGAGTAGCTGAGATTACAAGTGCCTGCCATCATGCCTGGCTAATTTTTGTATTTTTAGTAGAGACAGGCTTTCACCATCTTGGCCAGGCTGGTCTTGAACTCCTGACCTCATGATCCACCCGCCTCGGCCTCCCAAAGTGCTGGGATTACAGACGTGAGCCACCGTGCCCGGTCATTGCTGATTATTTTCTAGTTCACCAAATTCTGTTTTCATTTTTATTATTTCCTCTTCTTCCTTTGGCTCTACTCTTTTTTTAGTTTTTTAAATTGAAGAGCTGGCTCATTTATTTTCAATCTTTCAATCTAATACATTCATTAAAGATTATAAATTTATCCCCAAGTACCATTTTTGTGCATCCCTCAAATTTTGATACAACACTTTTGTTGTGATTTAGTTCTAATTATTTTGTAATTTCCATTTTTTTAATTCTTGAAAATTCTTAATCATTTTTCCTTTAATATTGCTTCTCCACTCCTCTGTGTATGCTCTCTTCTAAAACTCCAATTAGACCTATATTGGAACTGCTCAATCTATCCTCTAAGTGTCATCTTTTCTTCCATATTTTTCACCTCTTCATTTTTCTGCATTTCTCTGTGCTTGTCCGGAGGAGTACTCATTTCTTTCTTCAAATCAGTAACTTCTCTCTTTAGCTGTGTCATATCTTCTATTTTACCCATTTATTGAGTTATTTTATTACAAGCTATATTTTTCAAGATTTTAATTGGTTATTTTACATAAATATTTATTGTTTCTGAAGTAACTGTTCTTGTTCAATTATAATGCAATATGCTCTTAGTTAAAAAAAAAAAAAAAAAAAAGTGACGTCTGGCTGGGCGCAGTGGCTCACGCCTGTAATCCCAGCACCTTGGGAGGCTGAGGCGGGCAGATCACCTGAGGTCAGGAGTTCGAGACCAGCTTGGCCAACATGGCAAAACCCCATTTCTACTAAAAATACAAAAATTAAGTGGACGCGGTGGTGCACACCTGTAGACCTAGCTACTCGTGAGGCTGAGGCTGGAGAATCGCTTGAACCCAGGGGGTGGAGGTTGAAGTGAGCCGAGATAGCGCCACTGCACTCCAGCCTGGGAGACAGAGTAAGACTCCATATTAAAAAAAAAAAAAAAGTAACTGAAATTTTAAGCTAAATCACCTTAGACAAACTGTTCTTTGAAAAGTTCTCCATTATAAATCACTTCTTTAATGACAAAAAAAAAATCACTTTTTAGGAATTCTCTTGGCTGCTATTCTGCCAAATGTTATCCCACTGTGCCTACCTGCTTCAAGGCATGAAAAGTTCTATTATTCCCATTTTAGAATTGGAGAAATTGAAGCACAATAAAGTTCTCTTTAAAACACTTTCTCCTCATCTTTTTTTAAAATTTCAAAGCCATAGAAAAGTTGAAAGTACAATGACCCATATACCTTCTACCCAGATTCAAAATTGTTAACATTTACAACGTTTGCTTTACCTTTTTTCTCTCTCTCTCCATATACTTGCACACACCACACCCAAATATCCACACACTTTTTTTTCTGAACCCACTCCTGAGCCCAACATGATACTTCACTTGGAATATTTCAATATATTTCTCCAAAGAATAAAAGCACTCTCAATATAACGACCATATCATTCACACCAAAGAAACTATGAGATTGAACAGAATCGTACAAAGACATGCAGCAGTAGATTCAAAACTAGTATTTAAGTCATCTGACTAAATGCTCTTTATCTTGGCTTGTCTAATGATTGGACAAACTGCTTTCTGATGATTATTTAGAAGAGACAATCTGTCAAAGAGCATTTCCTTCCTTCATTTCTGAAAAGAAAGCAATAATCTTCTAAGATATTCAAACTGCAAAAATCAAGGATACTGTATTTCCACTTTGTTTTCTAACACTAAATCTTTAAGTGAAGCTACTCTATACTCTCAAAACTATATACTCTTTTTATATGCCACAAGATAAATTATTAATAATATTATACTAAATAATTAGAATTTCACTATACCAGCTTTTAAAGGGAAAAATTGTTTTTAAGAAAAAAATATGGTACAAATAAGATTGATGAGCCAAATGAAACTGCTTTATACATTAAAAAACTGGTAAGTGTAGGCTGGGCACGGTGGCTCATGCCTGTAATCCCAGCACTTTGGGAGGCCGAGGCGGGCAGATCACAAGGTCAGGCGATCAAGACCATCCTGGCTAACACGGTGAAACCCCGTCTCTACTAAAAATACAAAAATTAGCCGGGCGTCGTGGCGGGCGCCTGTAGTCCCAGCTACTTGGGAGGCTGAGGCAGGAGAATGGCGTGAACCCAGGAGGCAGAGCTTGCAGTGAGCCGAGATCGTGCCACTGCACTCCAGCCTGGGCGACAGAGCGAGACTCTGTCTCAAAAAGACAAACAAAAAACTGGTAAGTTTATTCATAAATCTATATGAAAAGCTAATATTTCAGTGGGGATGATTTAATCTCAGTCACTGATGTTAGGAACTAGGTAATATAAACCATAAAATCCTATGCTTGCTCTCAAAGAACCTAAAAACCCAGTTTAAGAGTTGCATATTTTTATTACACAACATACCTGTGTAAAAAATAAAATAATAAATTTTTTAAAAAGAGCTGTATATTTTTAAAAAATAGCAATATGGCCAGGCGCCATGGCTCATGCCTGTAATCCTAACACTTTGGGAGGCCGAGGCGGGCAGATCACTTGAGGTCAGAAGTTCAAAACCTGGCTAACATGGTGAAATCCTGTCTCTACTAAATATACAAAAAAGCTAGCCAGGCCTGGTGGCAGATGCTTGTAATCCCAGCTACTTGGGAGGCTGAGGCAAGGGAATTGCTTGAACCTGGGAGGCGGAGGTTGCAGTGAACGGATATCATGCCACTGCACTCTAGCCTGGGCGATCGAGTGAGACTCTGTCTCACTTTATTTTAAAAAATAAAAATTAAATTAAATTAAATTAAAATTTAAAAATAGCAATACAACCTAAAGCTAATATTTAAGGGCTAAACTGTATCATTCAGCTAACTATAACCACAAAAATGGTTAAGATCAATCTATAGCCAAACACTAGCCAATAAGGGTATTAACTGGGTGCTGCTAAGGTACTGTATTAAATAAATTCCATGAATTAATAGTCTTACAGACATCCCACTTTTCTACTGAAGAACTGAAGATAACAAATATACTAGCATAAAAGGACTGATAAAAGGGGTAAGACTTGCCTCAACTCTAAAGTACAGAAATCAGAATGCAGAAAAGGCTATCTGAAGAAAGTGAGAAACCACAAACCAAGTGTAAATATAACTATGCAGGTAAGAACAAACAAAAGTTTCAAACTGAAGAAATTAAGGCTAGATAAACAGAATGGAATTGGATAGCAGGAGGCCTCAAGTATCCAGCAAACGGATGAAAGTTTTGTAAAACAGCTATAAGCAGGACACCACTACGAGCTCTTTATATTTAAAATGCCTTTTTAGAAATAGAACCTAGTAATAATACAAAATGAGTGGGAGAGAAATGAGAAGCAAGAAACTATATAGTAACATTTACAAATATCAATTCAATAAGTTATTTGGTACCTGAGGAAATCAGGCAGCTCAAACTGAACCAATTCTGTCACAATTCACATCAAGTATTTTCATTACAAACAAGGAAGCGGTAAATAGACTTGCAACATATCCTATATTATTTTTCAAATATACTTTCAATGAAGTTCAAGATACATTGAAAACTGTCATTAAGAAGTGCTAGGAAAAAAAAAAAAAAGTGCTAGTCAGGCCAGGAGCAGTGGCTCACACCTGTAATCCCAACACTTAGGGAGGCCAAGGTGGGCAGATCATTTGAGTTCATGAGTTCGAGATCAGCCTGGGCAACATGGCAAAACCCCATCTCTATAAAAAATAAAAAAATTAGTCAAGCATGGTGGTGTGCAACTGTAGTCCCAGCTACTCAGGAGGCTGAAGTGGGAGGATGGCTTGTGCCCAGGAGGCAGAAGTTGCAGTAGGCCAAGATCACACCACTGCACTCTAGCCTGGGCGATAGAGCCAGACTTTGTCTCAAAAAAAAAAAAAAAAAAAAAAAAAAGTGCTAGACAATTAATATAAAACTATCCTTGCTGGTCAGTACTACTGTGCCAAAAGAAATTCACCAAATATGACATCTGCATAAATTTTACAATATAAGTATTTACTTCAAAAAAGCAACATCATAAAGAAATGTACACAAGAATTCAACATTTGGCTTCCCTATATTGCTTTAGAACAACTAAACCATTTACCAAAGCCAGTAAATGCATAATTTTTTGTTTTTTGAGACAGAGTTTCGCTCTTGTTGCCCAGGTTGGAGTGCAATGGCACAATCTCAGCTCACCGCAACCTCTGCCTCCTGGGTTCAAGCGATTCTCCTGCCTCAGCCTCCCGAATAGCTGGGATTACAAGCATGCACCACCATGCCCGGCTAATTTTCTATTTTTCGTAGAGACAGGGTTTCTCCATGTTGGTCAGGCTGTTCTCGAACTCCCGACCTCAGGTGATCCACCCGCCTTGGCCTCCAAAAGTACTGGGATTACAAGTGTGAGTCAGCAAGCCCGGCCAACTAAATGTATAATTTTTTAGAAGCAGCTATTACGTAAATAAGATACTTTAAAATTAATGTCATACTTTTTACTCATACACCCATTAATAGCTCAGTATTTACTGTCCACACAATAATTTCCATAATCCATATCAAATGTACAAAAAGAAGCTATCCCAAGTAACTTCCTTTCTTTTCAATTAAACAAACTCCTTCTCAAGGGACAAAATTTGGGGGGAAAAAAAATCTCAGGTTTGTGAAAACTAGATTACTTACCAGTAACTTGAGTTATCCTATTGGGTCTTTTCCCTCACAGATCCACCTCTCTTGCCCTTCTGTTCAGCATGAGAATCTTCCTGATGGGCATCCACTGGAACTGAGGGGGCATGCAGTACAGACGTATATGTAAGAAAGTTTGGGGGAGGGGATTTGGGAGATGCTAGAGACATGCTTCAGTGCACTTGCTTACCTTCCTGAAATTGGAAATTTCAACGGTTCCTTGGTCCTCGAGGCACTCACAATAACTTCAAACAATGTGGATCTGTGGAGATTACCCAATAGGAGAACTCCAGTTACTGGTAAGTGATCCAGCTTTTTCTTCTCTATCAGAATAAGAAGATTATTTCATTTTATTTGAGATTATTATCACACGTAGAACTACAGAAGAAAGCATAAATTCACTAGATAACTATATATACACGTATCAAAGTAAATATGGAAACAATTTGCTAAATATAATGTCAGTGGAAACTTCTCACATTATCAGAAACATAAGGAAATCATTAGAATGGTTTCATTTTAAAAAGTCTACTATAATGGCTGCTATATTTTAATATACAAAAATATCAGCCACCAGGCTATTTCATTTTGCTGAAACAATATCATTATATTTTATATTAGTACAAGAATAATTAGTTGATCAAAATCTATCATTTCTTAACTAGCCATTGTCATTAACATTCACTAGATTTTGGTATAGAAGCCACCATAGTGGACTAATAATATGTTAGAATTCAGATAAAATGCATCAATACAATTCTCATTTTATCACTCAAGTCTTTAACCAGGCCAGGCGTGGTGGCTCACGCCTGTAATCCCAGCACTTTGGGAGGCTGAGGCAAGCAGATCACCTGAGATCAGGAGTTCGAGACCAACCTGGCCAATATGGCAAAACCTCGTCTCTACTGAAAATACAAAAATTAGATGGACATGGTGGTGCATGACTGTAATCCCAGCTACTCGGGTGGCTGAGGCACGAGAACTGCTTGAACCTGGGAAGCAGAGGTTGCAGTGAGCGGAGATCGTGCCACTGAACTCCAGCCTGGATGACAGAGCGAGACTCTGTCTCCAAAAAAAAAAAAAAAAAAAAAAAAGTCATCCAGGCACAGTGGCTCACGCCTGTAATCCCAACACTTTTGGAGGCCAAGGCAGGTGGATCACCTGAGGTTGGGAGTTCAAGACCAGCCTGACCAACATGGTAAAACCCCATAACCCCATCTCTACTAAAAATACAAAAAGTAGCCAGGTGTGGTGGCATGCGCCTGTAATCCCAGCTATTAGGGAGGCTGAGGCAGAAGAATTGCTTGAACTCGGGAGGTGGAGGTCGCAATGAGCCAAGTCGTGCCATTGCACTCCAGCCTGGGCAACAGAGGGAGACTCTGTCCAAAAAAAAAAAAAAAAAAAAAGTCAGCCAGGCACGGTGGCTTGCACCTGTGATTCCAGCACTTTGGGAGGCCGAGGTGGGCGGATTAGCTGAGGTTAGGAATTCTAGACCAGCCTCACTAACATAGTGAAACCCCGTCTCTACTAAAAATACAAAAATTAGCCGGGTGTAGTGGCAGGTGCCTATAATCCCAGCTACTCAGGAGGCTGAGGCAGGAGAATAGCTTGAACCCAGAAGGCGGAGGTTGCAGTGAGCCAAGATCGTGCCTGGGAGACACAGCAAGATTTCATCTCAAAAAAAAAAAAGTCTTTAACCATTTGTCACCTATTGACACACCAAACACAAACAAAAGTATGCCAGTCATTGAAAAATATTAATAATGCTAATTATAATTTAAATACTTGTACAAAAGAAATACAGCAAATTTTAAACTTTTAAAATAATTGCCTAAAAATGGCCGTCACTGAAATAAAAACTATTTCTAATCAAAAGAAAAAAATCTCTCCAAAAGAAATTTATCTTCAAGCTCATATGAAGATATTACATTACCTTTAACTGAATACACATTAATCAATATATATTCATCATATTCATTTTAATGTGCCACAGCAGTGATGACTTCTAACACTAGTAACTACACTAGCAGGTACTAGATACAGATATATTTTAATACCCTTTACCATCATGCTTCTAAATAATCACCTCCTTCCTTCAAGAAACTTATGATTTCATGATTCTTCATTCTATGGAAACAAAGAAAGTGTATAGTTTTTCCTTTAAGAATAGTCTAGTAACTAACTCACCACTGAATAAATGAAAGAAAACAAAACAAACAAAAAATAAATGGGATAAAATGGTCTGTAAAATCATTCTACACAATCAAATTCAAAATGTAATTCTAATGAAAATCTTTTATTTCAATCCTGTTATGAGGTCATATTTGTATTTGTTAGGTTGACAACACACCTGTCAAGATTGTCAAGATCTGTGATAGATTCTTACTTAAATTTAAGATACAAATTGCCTTGGGTAAATGCATGCATTTTTCTACAAATTTGAGTTAAGTATAACAGTAATAAATCCATTCACTTTTAAATGACCCATTCAAACAGGGGTACTACACAGACCTCCATTTCTAATTGGAATAAATATCAGAAAAGGGTCATCTAGGTAACTCTGCTAGTTTACTAGACTCCTAGTCACTGGAGTAAGTACATAGCACAAAGGTCTTATATGTTTATAGTGATAAAACAGATCAAGGAGCAATAATGCAAATATTTTATCCTAATGGTATAAGCTAATATAAAAGATGTCATTAAGAGCCAGGCACGGTGGCTCAAGCCTGTAATCCCAGCACTTTGGGAGTCCAAGGCGGGCCTTTCTCTCACTGTCCAGATATCTTGCTCTGGGGCAAACAAGCTGTTATGTTCTGAGCCTATAGAAAAGAGAAGCCCACATAGCAATAAACTGATGTCTCTGGCCAACAGCCAGATGCCTGAGGCCTGACAATAGACATGTGAGTTAACTTGGAAGCAGGTGTTCTAAGGTCTGCTGACAACCACATGAGTGAGCTTGCAAATGGATCCTTCCTCAGTTGAGCCCTAAGCTGACTGCAGGCTTGTGAGAGAAAAGGTGGGAAAAAGAACAAAATTCTATTATATTATTTAAATTAATCTGACCAGATTTTGAAGCCTTACCTTACTTTTCAAGTCAATTCTTAATAGCCATCTCTAAAGTAAATAATTTCTGTGTAAAACTATTTTATAAAACAATGACAAATTTTTCCAACATCGCAAATTTCAATTGTCTCAAGCCAACTTGAGTGGCTCTAAGTGTCTCATTTTCCTTCCTTAGGGAAAGTCATCCTTTTTTATTTCCATTGAATAAATAACTTTTTAAAATAGAAATTCCTCTATTACATTTCAACATGTTCATGCAAATCATTCTGCTTTAACATAATTTCATTATCATTTTAAAAGTACATATAAACCGTAAGTACTGAAATGCCATACCTTAAAAAGTCTTCAGTGTGTGTATATTAATGACCTTTTTATGGAAACATACATCAAGGTATTAGTAACAGTAAGGTACAAACTCATTCTCTTTTATCTAATCTCAAAATTCAAACAGGGGTACTACACAGACCTCCATTTCTAATTGGAATAAATATCAGAAAAGGGTCATCTAGATAAAGGGCATTAATACGCCCCATTATCTTTCACCTAACTAGAATAGCCCAACTAGTCTTTCTATTTACACATTCCTGCAGCCTGCCAGTCCATTCTCCTTACAGAAGCCACAGAGCACTTCCACACTTAAACTCATTAAATGGCTTGTTACACTTCCAATAAAATCTCAGTGTCATATCATTTACGACTAAATTGTGATCTGGCATTTTACCCACTTGCTCACCTTCATCTGATGCCACTCACCCTCTGCCTCACTATGCACTAGTCTTTGCTCAATGTAAAACAAACTCCTAACCAAAGGGCTTTCAACTTGCCGTTAACTACAACTCTTTCACAAATACCTCCTCTTATCCTTTCCTTTGAGACAAGGTCTGGCTTTTGTCCAGGCTGGAGTGCAGTGGCACAATCTCAGCTCACTGCAACCTCCCCTTCTTGGGCTCAAGCCATTCTCTTACCTCAGCCTTCCAAGTAGCTGGGAAACCAGGCTCATGCTACCATGCCCGGCTAATTTTTATACTTTTTGTAGAGATGGGGTTTTGCCACGTTGCCCAGGCTGGTCTCGAACTCCTGAGCTAAAGTGATCCAATGGCCTCAGCCTCCCAAAGTGCTGGGATTACAGGTGTGAGCCGCCATGCCCGGCCTCCTCTTATCCTTCTGCTTTCTGATTAAATGCCACCCACTCAGAGAAGCCTCTCCTCTTCACCCATTTCAAATAATTCCTGTTGTTGCCACACTCTGCAATGATTTTTTTTTGGTATTTTTTTGTTTGCAACTTAAATTCCATGAGAGCTGGCCAGGCACAGTGGCTCACTCCTGTAATTCCAGCACTTTGGGAGGCTGAGGTGGGTGGATCACTTGAGGTCAAGAGTTCGAGACCAGCCGGGCCAACACGGCGAAACCCCTTCTCTACTAAAAATATGGAAATTAACCAGGCGTGGTGGCAGGCGCCTGCGGTCCCAGCTACTCAGGAGGCTAAGGCAGGAGAATCGTTTGAACCTGGGAGGCAGAGGTTGCAGTGAGCTGAGATGGCACCACTGCACTCCAGCCTGGGCAACAGAGTGAGACTCCTCCATCTTAAATTAAATAAATAAATAAATAAATGAATTCCATGAGAGTAAAAATGTGTCTTGTTCTCCTCTGTAACTCCATTACCTAGCCCAGCACCTGTCTCAAAATACCATTTTAATGTTTAATGAGTAATGAAAATATTTTTGAAATTCATAAGCCACTCACTGATTTTTAGTTCTAGAGTCTTGGCTACTCCTTTCTTATTCTGCCTATGTTCTAAATAACTTTGTTATTCAGCACTCCTAAAACCTGAATCTTTAGGCATTGTAAATCATATGAAATCCAGTGTAGGCTGGGTGCAATGGCTAACACCTGTAATTCCAGCACTTTGGGAGGCTGAGGTGGATCGCAAGAGCCCAGGAGTTCGAGACAAGCCTAGGCAACACAGTGAGACCTCATATCTACACAAAATTGAAATTAAAAAAAGAAAAAAAACTCCAGTGTACTTCAGAGATAGCTGTTACTTTATAGAACAAATGAAGTTTTAAAATATGTGCTGTGATTTGCTTGGCTAACCAATCATTAAAGAGTGCTATGATTCATTACTCCTAAAAACAGAAAATAAGGGTTTCTTCAAACCATACATATTCCCTCACAATTAACCATGCAATCTCCCAGGAGTTTTCAAAGCTACCATACAGTGGCAGGGCATGGTGGCTCACACCTATAATCCCAGCACTTTGGGAGGCTGAGGCAGGCAGATCACTTGAGGTCAGGAGTTCAAGACAGCCTGGCCAACATGGCGAAACCCTGTCTCTACTAAAAACACCAAAAAACATTAGCCAGGCATGATTGCACCTGTAGTCCTAGCTACTCGGGAGGCTGAGGCAGGAGAATCACTTGAAACCAGGAGGCAGAGGTTGCAGTGAGCCCAGATTGCGCCACTGCACTCCAGCAGCCTAGGCGACAGAGCGAGATTCCAGCTCAAAAAATAAATAAATAAATAAATAAATAAATAAATAAATAAATAAATAAATAAAGCTACTGTACATTTACTTACCACTTAAATTCTTGACACCAACAAGTACCCAATGTTTTGGGATTTTTTGTTGTTAATTCTATCACATTTTGTAGTTATAATCTAAAGTCATTGTTAGAGGCATAGACTTAAAGATAGATATTACTAGATAATTATATCCTTGGGAAACAAAGTTAGTTACTAACATAATTTTACTTATCTTCCTACCTACCAATATTAACCTCCTTTATTTAGTCTATAAATATAAACCAGAATTATTGTAACATGAAAAGCTGAGGACAATCACTACGCAAAAGTATTATCTTGTTACAACTTAAAAATACAAATCTAAATGCCATACTTATTAAAACAAATACTACATGGAACTTGAGAGAAAAATTAAGATTCTGTCTGATGAAAGTAAAAGCCATTGGAGATGGCTAAACACACCCCCCTCTTTTTGAAAATATCCTCTTCCCTCTGTTTCTGTATTGTTACACTCTCCTGGGTTTCTTACTCCCTATTAATTTTTTTTTCCTTCTCCATTTCTTTCTTCTTCTTTGTGGGATGCTCTTCTTCTACCACTGTAAAAAAATAAAGATGTTCCTCAAAAGTCTCTCCTAGGTCTCTTTTCTCATGGTAGGCAATCTATTCCCTCCCTGATCTGTCTTACCCACTCCTACAGCTTCAACTCAAATCATGTGTACAAATGACTATCAAATATGTATTTACAGCCCTTTTCTCCTTCCTAAGCCTTACCCAACATATCCAAACTGCTTCAGAGATCTTCCCTCTCAAATTTTCCCCAGGCACCCCAAATTCAACAAATCTATAGGCAAACTATTACCTTCCCCCAAACCTGTCTTCCTATTTGCTATCTCAGTGAGAACTAACACCACTCACTCAACTGCTTAAGCCAGAATCCTGAGATTCATCCTTGATACCTCCCCTTCACTATGACCCAACTTCCTGCCTCCCACAACCATATCCAATCAACCATCAAGTTCCACAGATCTCTCCTAAACACATCTATAATACATTCATTTCTGTCTCCCATCTGGCATTCCCCTTGTTCAGGACATTACTGCCTCTTGCCTAGACTATCAAAATGGTTTCTCTGCCTCTAGCTAAGATTCAGCAAGAAAGTAAGCATGACACAAGAGAGAATAAAATCTGTCGGCTGTGGTTTCAATCATACATTATACTGATGGTAAAAGAAAACATTTTTAAAACTGCTAATAATTGAACATGCAGGTAGCTTAGATTGATGTAAGTTCTTCTATCCAGTAAAATGGGTATAATTTTTTTTATAAGAAAATGGTTTTATTCCTAATTTTTAGTTCCCATACAGTTTACAAATACACTTTTACTCTGATAATACAGCTTTGCAACTAGCAAAGCAGTTGCGCTAACACCCATAAATATAGGTGGGGAGACAATTAACATCCACTAACATATTCCATCTAACTCACAAAATTATGAAATTATATAAATATTCCTTAAAAAACAAGAAGTGGAAAGCAGTTTAAAGCAGCAACAGAATCAGATATATAATAAAGGGGCTTTTGCAGTTCATTTTTATCAGTACCTACACAAGACACTGTGATGGGCATTGAGAATTTTAAAAATATTATTACAATTATCATTATCATTAACTAAGAAATGTGCTGAATTCATTTTATCACTTATATTTAATTACCACCAAAAAAATCACATGAATATAAATGTCAAGGAGGGGATTTAAACTGAAATGTGATAATGGGACCAATGGTACAGCCCTCAGGAAGGAAACAAATATAAAATATCTTCAATACACTGTGTAAATATATCATCACTTTTAGCAAAGAATTCTTTAAGAGTAATTGAGAGGGCATTCACTCTGACCTAGAGACAAAGGAATGCTTAGCCTTCAGAGATGAAGCCTGAGCAATCATAAAGACCATGAAATTGTGGAGGATGGGGAAGTAGAGGGCAGAAGAAACAGCATAATATATAAAATGGCACAGTGGCCTAAAAAAGACCATGACCATGCTCAGACAATCCCAACCTTGAAAACAGATGTACTCTTTAACTATGGCAAACAGTAAAAAATTCTGCTTTTACTGGCTTAATTCTTAAGTCTATATATACTGCTTACTCCTATTACACTACCAGAGTACTTTCTAGACGTTAGAACTTGCTGGTAAGGTCCAAATTTTTATGTGACAGTCTACATCAGGCTACTAGGAAACACACACACACACACACACACACACACACACACACACACACAGATGATTATCGATCTCATCAAGGCTTAGGTATTTCATGGTATTTCAGATTACTGCAGTTATAAAGCTAGGTGCACACAATTACCAACCACAATGATATGCAAGTATACATTTCCCTTTTTGACTGATGAATATGGTTTGTCTGCTCGTAAATGTTATATCTTCATGACTGTTGTTAGTATACCTTAGTGTCTATGCTTGCAAAAATGTTATTGCCTATTTTATTGTGTAAAGTGGCCTATGAATTGTTGTTTTTATCTGTTTCTCAAATAAATCCCCTTTTTAAAATGTATGTGTCTTTTAAAAAATGTATTATTTTTTCCAGAATACATTTTTGGGATTTTGACCTTTCAGGATTGTGATTTGGGGGATTTTAGACTTTAAGGATGTTGATTTTTCAGGATTTCAACATTTGAGATTATGGCATTCGGGAACCTATCTTTTGGGATTATGACTGGCTCCCAAAATAATCTTATTAAATGTTATCATAATGTATACTTTGATAGCATTATGAATTTAACATATGTTTCATCTGTAAATTATAATGCTCATTACTAATTTAATCAGTCGATTATGTAGCTCTGAGCCTTACTAATCTCGGTCCTTAAAAAAAACAAATGTGTCTAAGAAGATGAGTGGGGGGAAAAAAGGAAAGATATAGGGAAGGAGGGAGAGAGAAAGGGCTTTCAAGAAAGAAAGCTTCAAATCTCTCCTGCCACCCTACAAAACTCACTAATAGCTCTTCTTTTTGAAATGTGAGGGTAGGTAATCCAGTCACAATTAACCTAGCCTGTGCTGAACAGAATTTGAGTGGTAAAACAGGGCAGTGATTTTCCAAAAATGTTTTGCAAAACACCCTTATAAAATACAAATTAAGAGAAATCCTAATAAAATATATAATGGCATAAATGACCTGGATGAAGTGAAGTGGGCAACCACAGAGCCCCACTTGCTTGCTCCCACTGAGCCAATTCCATGAAACCTTAGGAATCCACTCAACACAATTTGAAACCACTGGGCCTCCTGAGGGACAGCCAGGTCTCGTCTACCCCAAAAAGTTTGTTACTTGATTCTAACAGGCAAACCTCTCTCCTCTTTACCCTCTTATTTCCTGAAGCCTGCTCTTTCACAGAAGGCTTCCCAAAGATGGCCTTGGATGAGCTGTATGGTTGAAGGAATGTACAGCTGTGTACAGATACTGGGAGCAGGGATAAGAGATAGGAGGTATAACAGAGAAAGCATTTTTGGACATGAGAGTTCATTAAGCTCATTCAGAGAAGTGTTTGCTAAACAGAAAGGGGGACCAGAGATATAGACACAGAGAGATGCCCACATACTCACATTCCTGTACACATATGCATGCCCAGGCACACACCCATACATACAACCCTGCCTGCACACACACATGCACACACAAAAATGTGAGGGAAAAGCTCTTTGGAAAAGGCAGCTCAAAGTGGGATGAATACCTCACACCCCGTCCACCTCATTATCTTATCCAGAAAAAATACAGCAGTGTTTCTCAAACTTTAATGTGCATATAAATAACCTAAAGATCCTGTTAAAGTGCAGGTTCTGATTCAGTAAGTCCTCAATGAGGCCTGAGATTGTACATTTCTAACAAGCTCCCAGGTGATGCTAACGCCACTGGTCTGTGGACCACACTTTGATAGCAACATCCTACATAACAACACATCTCCACATGATCTATATTATAATTGAAAAACAAAGTTCCCTGGTAAAATAAGACTGAGAACTGCTCAATTAAATAAGACAAAACAAACTGGAGCCTTCTCAGAGACTGGAGGACTTCTCAGAGACTAACTTAGAGGACCAAGATGAGGTGAGAATGGTTATGAGAAGGCCCTAAAATGGGAAAAAGTCTACTTTTTTCCCATTCTTCCAATGAGAGATACTTCAAGTTTCAATTTTAAATGCTAATACCTATGCAAAAATACAGAGTGGAAACACAACATTTTAGAAGTAGCTAACTTCTGACTGGAATGATAATATGAAAATAATCATTACTATCTTCCTCCTTATACTTCCTTAAATCTTTAATGTATACATAATACTTTTATAATCATGAGAAAAAGAATTATCTTAAGGAAAAAATAAAACTCCATCCCCCACACCCAGATTCTTTACATTAGCATTTAGAACAATTACTTTATTCAGACTTACATAAAACATAAAAGATTTTCTAGTAAAGGAAGAACTGTTGGTGAAGTAAAGAATGAAGCAATCATAACATTTTAGAAGGTAGCCTAGAAATAAATATTAGTGAAGAGACTTTGGGCTGTGGGGGAACAAAAGACAAATAGCAAAAATGGATGGAACAAAGAGGAAAGAAGACCAAAATCACTTTGCCTACTCCACAAATGCACCAAGAGCTTTACCTGTTGAGCAGCTACCTCCCTGGCATAAAAATCATTTACTTGCTGCCATTCTGGGTTGACTGTCCCTAGTATGTTCTATAAAAGTAAAGTATGTTGTGCAAAGGAACCCTGATCAGACTATAAAACATGTAAAGATGAAATTGTTTAATTCATATGTCTAAAAATTGTCAGGGGGCTATACAAACTTTACACCATACACACACATCCAGTCATTCACACATTCACATATTATCAAAGTGATTATATTACTATCAGTGATTCTTAATATTTGTATCACAAATAAAAGAGAGAAATAATACTTACTGGTATTTCTCCTGAGAAACACTATGATATCAAAGAAGTGAGGATATACAGCAAAATAAAAGTTGTTATAAAAGACATAAAAATGAAGTTTGTTAACATTTGTACTTCAAAAATATTAGTAAATATAGGAAAAAAGACAGCCATTTTATTCTTTATTCACCATACTATTAGCCTAGATTTTTAACATTTAGTTCTTAAGTTCTCATATTATTTATAAGTAGTAGGTCTAATGTTAGAAACTGTCAAGAGGTATACCACTAGATCTAGGTATAGGCAAAATTATAAGAAGAAATCTTTAAGAAGTTACTTGCTAGCAAATTTAATTAAATGCTACCACAGCAAGGTTATAAAATGGGACTGGAGGCTAGGCATGGTGGCTCACACCTGTAATCTCAATACTTTGGGAGGCTGAGGCAGGAGGGGTGCTTGAGGCAAAGTTTGAGACCAGGCTGGACAACATAGCAAGACCTCATCTCTACAAAAAATTTTAAAATTACCTGGGTGTGATGGAGCACGCCTGTAGTCCTAGCTACTTGGGAGGTTGAGCTTGAGCCCAGGAGTTTGAAGTTATAGTAAGCTATGATCGCACCACTGCACTCCGGCCTGGGTGACAGAGCAAGACTCTATCTCTTTAAAAAAAATTTTTTTTAAGTGACTGGAAATTCAGATTTCTAAATCTCACACTGATCAACTACTGACCCAAGTCACAATACTTCCAGCCTGTTTTCTTACCTATCAAGAGGATACGAGGCTAGAGCCATGAGTTTCAACAAATAGAAAAGACCTCACCCAGCAGATTGCTAAATATTATGTTAGTTCCCCAAGTTCCACAATTAAGAATCCTCCAAACTTAGCTGAAAATCCCAACAAGAAGGTTTTGAAAACAATAGTAGTCTCAGCCCATTTCAAAAGTTTAATACAAGCCTCTCTACTTACAATCTCTCAAGATCTTCCCTCTGAAGACGCTCTTATCTGTCTATCATTAAGGTTTCAAGTAATAAAAACTTGTCTGGCTCAGGATGTGACTAAACACTCTAGAAACACTTCAAAGGTTCCTTTTAGCTCTAAAATTCTCAGTAATTCTATAATTTCCCACAATAAACAATATTGTAGAATGAAGTACATACAGAATCTTTTAAAACATGATTATAAATCACAGCTCATATAACAAAAGGTACCGTCTTAACAACCATGAAAGCCAATAAACAAAACACTGTAGGTGTTCAACAAATGATCAACAAACATTTGTTAAATAATTATTCCAAGCTATAAAGATTTAAGGAAAACATACCTTAAAGAAAAAAACACTAAGGTTTCACCAACTCCTTGAATGAAAACTTGATATTCCACAGAATGTTAAACTTTCTACCAATGTTGGCCCTATATCTAACCTTGAAGGAAAGAGAAATAAGCAAAAAAACCTTTCATTCAACTAGGATGGTTTTATAAACCTCTTTATTAAAGACAAATGAGTGAAAAGATCAACCAGTAATCCAACAACCCAGGTTTCAATCTAGGCTCTAACATTAATTATTTGACTAGCGGACCATCTTCCTCACCAGCCATATAGGGGCGGTTTGATGAGCAAATAGAAGGATATATAGGAAAGCACTCTGAACACAGTAAAGCACTATACAAGTGTGCTTACATAAAACGGCAGGATTGTTAAATTTATATATATTCAATACTTGAAAAATCATCCCAGGAATCATCTACTTTGTAAATAAAATAATTTTGTACTAGGGTTACATTATTTAGTGTCTGTTTCATAAGTTACCTATTTTATTGGTTATATTGGCAATGATCGCCAGCATGATATTCAGGGATTTTTTTTTCCTTTTCTTTCAAAAGCATTGTTGAGAAGATTAAATGGTTTTAATTCTCATTGTTGAGAAGATTAAATGATAAAGCCATTATCACAGTGGCTGACACACAGTAAGTGCTCTGTAAGTAGTGGCCATTACTGTTAAGGAATAAATGGTGGCTTATAATTTATTGCTGCCAAATTCTTTTTTTTTTTTTTGTTACCATTGGTAGTTTCTGGTGTTGGAAACTCAGTAAAAAGCTGTGTCTTTCATTATCTGTCACTTGTGCAGTGCTTTACTGTGCTCAGAATGTTTTCCTATATACACTTCCATTTGCTCATCAAACAACCCTATGAGACTGGTGAAGAAGGTAGAAATCCAGTCACAGAATTAATATTAGAGCCCACATTGACACCCGAGTTGTTTGAAAGAGGTTTATAAAACTATCATAGTTGGGTGAAAGGTTTCTTTGCTTATTCCTCTTTCCTTCAAAGTTACATATAGCGCCAGCATACTATGTAGGAAGTTTCAGTCTACTGAAATTTTACATCAATTATATAACTATCATCTTAAAAACAGCAGTTTCTTTAAAATACATACACACACACACACACACACACACATATATATACACACAAACAAAAAGATAAAGAAAAGGCTTTACCCAGCAATGAAGTGCCAGCTGTTTCAAAGAACATAATTTGGGTGAAATTTCTTAGGGGAGAAAGTAATCAATCAAACTGGAAATTGGCCATGATGTTAAAGCACATTTTACCAAAAGTGCTTTATTTATATTTATTTATTTATTTGTACAGACAGGGTCTCGCTATGTTGCCCAGGCTAGTCTTGAACCCTAGGCTCAAGCAATCCTCCTGCCTCAGCCTGTAAAAGTGCTGGGATTACAGGTGTGAGCCACCTCGCCCCACCAGAAGTGCTTTATTAATAATGGCCACATGCAGCCATAAAAAAGGATGAGTTCATGTCCTTCGCAGGGACATGGATGAAGCTGGAAACCATCATTCTCAGCAAACTAACACGGGAACAGAAAACCTAACACCGCATGTTCTCACTCATAAGTGGGAGTTGAACAATGAGAACACATGGACACAGGGAGGGGAACATCACACACTGGGGCCTGTCGGGGGGTGGGGGGCAAGGGGAAGGAGAGCATTAGGACAAATACCTAATGCATGCAGGTCTTAAAACCTAGATGATGGGTTGATGGATGGAGCAAACCACCGTGGCACATGTATATCTATGTAACAAATCTTCAAGTTCTGCACATGTATCCCAGAAGTTAAAGTAAAATAAATAAATAAATAAATAATAATGGCCACAACAATAACTGATTTCATATAAGCACAGCCTTCTCCAAAAACTAGAACTATGTTGGAAAATCCATTCTCAACTCCTTGTATTTACTCACTAGCAAATATTACCTATCTTCTGTGCTAGAATTCAAACCCTTAAAGGCTAGAATTGGGTTTCATCCACAATTCTGTAGTCCTAGCATAATTCATTGCATATGTTTCCCAGTAAGCATGTATTTATAATATATTTTAGTTTCTGATAGGCCCTTGATGTCAACTACCTTAACTTTAAAAATCATTCAACAGAAAATAATTTAGGTGAAGAATACAATATATTTCTTTTTTTTATTATACTTTAAATTCTGGGATACATGTGCAGAACCTCCAGGTTTGTTACATAGGTATACACGTGCCATAGTGGTTTGCTGCATCCATCAACCCGTCATCTACATTAGGCAATTCTTCTAATGCTATCCCTCCTCTAGCCCCCCACCCCGCGACAGGCCCCCGTGTGTGATGTTCCCCTCCCTGTGTCCATGTGTTCTTATTGTTCAACTCCCAGTTATGAGTGAGAATACGTGGTGTTTGGTTTTCTGATCCTGTGTTAGTGTGCTGTAAATGATGGTTTCCAGCTTCATCCATGTCCCTGCAAAGGACATGAACTCATCCTTTTTACAGCTGCATAGTATTCCATGGTGTATATGTGCCACATTTTCTTTATCCAGTCTATCATTGATGGGCATTTGGGTTGGTTCCAAGTCTTTGCTTTTGTGAATAGTGCTGCAATAAACATACGTGTGCATGTGTCTTTACAGTAGAATGATTTATAATCCTTTGGGTATATACCCAGTAATGAGACTGCTGGATCAAATGGTATTTCTGGTTCTAGATCCCTGAGGAATCACCACACTGTCTTCCACAATGGTTGAACTAATTTACACTCCCACCAACAGTGTAAAAGCGTTCCTATTTCTCCACATCCTCTCCAGCATCTGTTGTTTCCAGACTTTTTAATGATCGCCATTCTAAATGGCATGAGATACTATCTCATTGTGGTTTGATGTGCATTTCTCTAATGACCAGTGATGAGTTTTTCACATTTGTTGGCTGCATAAATGTCTTCTTTTGAGAAGTGTCTGTTCATATCCTTTGCCCACTTTTTGATGGGGTTGTTTTTTTTCTTGTAAATTTAAGTTCTTTGTATATTCTGGATATTAGCCCTTTGTCAGATGGACAGATGGCAAAAATATTCTCCAATTCTGTAGGTTGCCTGTTCACTCTGATGATAGTTTCTTTTGCTGTGCAGAAGCTCTTTAGTTCAATTAGATCTCATTTGTCAATTTTGGCTTTTGTTGCCACTGCTTTTGGTGTTTTAGTCATGAAGTCTTTGCCCATGCCTATGTCCTGAATAGTTTTTCAGGACATAAAACCTTGCCTAGGTTTCCTTCCAGGGATTTTATGGTTTTAGGTCTTATGTTAAAGTCTTTAATCCATCTTGAGTCAATTTTGTGTAAAGTGTAAGGAAGGGATCCAGTTTCAGTTTTCTGCATATGGCTAGCCAGTTTTCCCAACACCATTTATTAAATAGGGAATCCTTTCCCCAGTGTTTGTTTTTGTCAGGTTTGTCGAAGATTAGATGGTTGTAGATACGTGGTGTTATTTCTGAGGACTCTGTTCTGTTCTATCGGTCTATATGTCTGTTTTGCTACCAGTACCATACTGTTTTGGTTACTGTAGACTTGTGGTATAGTTTGAAGTCAGGTAGCATGATGCCTCCAGCTTTGTTCTTTTTCCTTAGGACTGTTTTGGGTATACAGGCTCTTTTTTGGTTCCACATGAAATTTAAATTAGTTTTTCTAATTCTGTGAAGAAAGTCAATGGTAGCTTGATGGGGACAGCACTGAATCTATAAATTACTTTGGGAAGTATGGCCATTTTCACAATATTGATTCTTCCTATCCATGAGCATGGAATGTTTTTCCATTTGTTTGTGTCCTCTCTTATTTCCTTGAGCAGTGGTTTGTAGTTCTCCTTGAAGAGGTCCTTCACATCCCTTGTAAGTTGTATTCCTAGGTATTTTATTCTCCTTGTAGCAATGGAATATACAATATATTTCTTAATACGCTGTACACTTTCACAGCTTCATTGGTTTATTTTAGTCAAGAAACACTTCGTTTTTAGCTATATTATATCATATAAATTTCAACTATCTGAAAAATGAGACCTAATAAGTGGCCACAAATGAGATCATAACAATATTATACAACTTGCCAAAGCTGTTCCTTAAAAATGCTAAGGTGTTCATGTACAATATCATCCTTGAAATAATGCTAAAACATCTGGGTGCAGTGGTTCATGCCTGTAATCCCAACATTTTGGAGGCCAAGGTGAGAGGATTGCTTTGGCCCAGGAGTTCGAGACCAGACTGGGCAACATAGGGAGACACCCCCTCTCTACCAAAAATTTAAAAATTAGCCAGACATAGTGGCACACCCCTGTAGTCCCAGCTACTTGGGAGGCTAAGGTGGGGGGACCACTTCAACCTGGGAGGTTGAGGCTGCAGTAAGCTATATCCACACCACTGCACTCCACCCTGGGCAACAGACTGAAACCCTGTCTCAGAAAATAAATAAATAAATAATGCTAAAACGATTTATACCTACAACTTAGAGACAAAATAGTCTGATAATATTTTTACAAACATAGTGTTCAAAATTATTGGAAAAGCAACGCCAGGTGTCAAATAGCAATAGTCAAATTTGAAGAAACATTAATTGAAAACATTTAAATAGACATCTTGAGAGGAGGTCGCGGCGCCGGAGGCCCCAGAAGGCTCGAAGGCGCCGCGGGCTGGGGTCGGTGGCTTAGGGAGCCCGTCCGGCCATGGTGGCCGCGGGTGGTGGTTGGCGCGGCTGCGCTGCGGCCCGGGGCAGTGCGGAGCCGGGACAGTCGCGGCGCTGACGCCCGCGGGCCCCAGCTGCAGATATGAAGCGGAGCCGCTGCCGCGACCGACCGCAGCCGCCGCCGCCCGACCGCCGGGAGGATGGAGTTCAGCGGGCAGCGGAGCTGTCTCAGTCTTTGCCGCCGCGCCGGCGAGCGCCGCCCGGGAGGCAGCGGCTGGAGGAGCGGACGGGCCCCACGGGGCCCGAGGGCAAGGAGCAGCCGCCTGCCTTGGCCTCCCAAAGTGCCGAGATTGCAGCCTCTGCCCGGCCGCCACCCCGTCTGGGAAGTGAGGAGTGTCTCTGCCTGGCCGCCCATCGTCTGCGACGTGAGGAGCCCCTCTGCCTGGCTGCCCAGTCTGGAAAGTGAGGAGCGTCTCCGCCCGGCCGCCATCCCATCTAGGAAGTGAGGAGCGCCTCTTCCCAGCCGCCATCACATCTAGGAAGTGAGGAGCGTCTCTGCCCGGCCGCCCATCGTCTGAGATGTGGGGAGCGCCTCTGCCCCGCCGCCCCATCTGGGATGTGAGGAGCGCCTCTGCCCTGCCGAGACCCCGTCTGGGAGGTGAGGAGCGTCTCTGCCCGGCCGCCCTGTCTGAGAAGTGAGGAGACCCTCTGCCTGGCAACCACCCCGTCTGAGAAGTTAGGAGCCCCTCCGCCCAGCAGCTGCCCCGTCTGAGAAGTGAGGAGCCTCTCCGCCCGGCAGCCACCCCATCTGGGAAGTGAGGAGCGTCTCCGCCCGGCAGCCACCCCGTCCGGGAGGGAGGTGGGGGGGTCAGCCCCCCGCCTGGCCAGCGTGCTGTCCGGGAGGGAGGTGGGGGGGTCAGCCCCCCGCCTGGCCAGCCGTGCCGTCCGGGAGGGAGGTGGGGGGGTCAGCCCCCCGCCCCGCCAGCCGCCCCGTCCGGGAGGTGAGGGGCGCCTCTGCCCGGCCGCCCCTACTGGGAAGTGAGGAGCCCCTCAGCCCAGCCAGCCACCCTGTCCGGGAGGGAGGTGGGGGGGTCAGCCCCCCGCCTGGCCAGCCGCCCCGTCCAGGAGGGAGGTGGGGGGTCAGCCCTCCGCCCGGCCAGCCGCCCCGTCTGGGAGGTGAGGGGCGCCTCTGCCCAGCCGCCCCTACTGGGAAGTGAGGAGCCCCTCTGCCCGGCCAGCCGCCCCGTCCGGGAGGGAGGTGGGGGGGGTCGGCCCCCCGCCCGGCCAGCCGCCCCGTCCGGGAGGGAGGTGGGGGGGTCGGCCCCCCGCCCGGCCAGCCGCCCCGTCCTGGAGGGAGGTGGGGGTGTCGGCCCCCCGCCCGCGCCAGCCGCCCCGTCCGGGAGGGAGGTGGGGGGGGGTCAGCCCCCCTGCCCGGCCAGCCACCCCATCCGGGAGGTGAGGGGCGCCTCTGCCCGGCCGCCCCTACTGGGAAGTGAGGAGCCTCTCTGCCCGGCCAGCCGCCCCGTCCGGGAGGGAGGTGGGGGGGTCAGCCCCCCGCCTGGCCAGCCGCCCCGTCCGGGAGGGAGGTGGGGGGGGGGGGTCAGCCCCCCCGCCTGGCCAGCCGCCCCGTCCGGGAGGTGAGGGGTGCCTCTGCCCGGCCGCCCCTACTGGGAAGTGAGGAGCCCCTCTGCCCGGCCAGCCGCCCCGTCAGGGAGGGAGGTGGGGGTGTCAGCCCCCCGCCCGGCCAGCCGCCCCGTCCGGGAGGGAGGTGGGGGGGGGGTCAGCCCCCCTGCCCGGCCAGCCGCCCCGTCCGGGAGGTGAGGGGCGCCTCTGCCCGGCCGCCCCTACTGGGAAGTGAGGAGCCCCTCTGCCCGGCCAGCCGCCCCGTCCGGGAGGGAGGTTGGGGGGTCAGCCCCCCGCCCGGCCAGCCGCCCCGTCCGGGAGGTGAGGGGCGCCTCTGCCCGGCCACCCCTACTGGGAAGTGAGGAGCCCCTCTGCCCGGCCACCACCCCGTCTGGGAGGTGTGCCCAACAGCTCATTGAGAACGGGCCATGATGACAATGGCGGCTTTGTGGAATAGAAAGGCGGGAAAGGTGGGGAAAAGATTGAGAAATCGGATGGTTGCCGTGTCTGTGTAGAAAGAAGTAGACATGGGAGACTTTTCATTTTGTTCTGCACTAAGAAAAATTCCTCTGCCTTGGGATCCTGTTGATCTGTGACCTTACCCCCAACCCTGTGCTCTCTGAAACATGTGCTGTGTCCACTCAGGGTTAAATGGATTAAGGGCGGTGCAAGATGTGCTTTGTTAAACAGATGCTTGAAGGCAGCATGCTCGTTAAGAGTCATCACCAATCCCTAATCTCAAGTAATCAGGGACACAAACACTGCGGAAGGCCGCAGGGTCCTCTGCCTAGGAAAACCAGAGACCTTTGTTCACTTGTTTATCTGCTGACCTTCCCTCCACTATTGTCCCATGACCCTGCCAAATCCCCCTCTGTGAGAAACACCCAAGAATTATCAATAAAAAAATAAATTAAAAAAAAAAAAAAACATTTAAATATCTACAATACTTCAGGTATTTTATTAGCTTCTGGGAATACCAAAGTGAATAAGACGGTCTCTGCCCTGTAGGGCAGATAAGTGTCTAGACAATTATACTACAATATATTTATTCTCCAGGAATAATTACATATACATACAGCCATGCATCATTTAATGACGGATATGTTCTGAAAAATGCATCGTTAGGTGATTTCATTGTCAGAACATCATAGAATGTATTTATACAAACCTAGATGGTACAGCCTACTACATACCTAGGCTATATGGTAGAGCCTATTGCTCTGAAGCTACAGGTGTACAGGATGTTACTATACTGAATGTTGCAGGTAATTGTAACACCATGGTAAGTATTTGTATCTAAACATAGAAAAAGTAGAGTAAAAATATAGTATCATTTTATGGGACTGTATATGTGGTCCCCCACTCACCAAAAATGTCATTATGGAGTGCATGACTGACTCTACATACATAGAATCAATATGATACCAAGGGGTGGAGGGATGGTAATCCTAGAGGGCTTCTTTGAAAAGTACCATATGGTGGCTTACGCCTGCAATCACAGCATTTTGGGAGGCTGAGGCAGGCGGATCACGAGGTCAGGAGATGGAGACCATCCTGGCCAACATGGTGAAACCCTGTCTCTACTAAAAATAAAAAAATTAGCTAGGTATGGTGGCACACGTCTGTAATCCCAGCTACTCAGGAGGCTGAGGCAGGAGAATCGCTCAAATCTGGGAGGCGGAGATTGCAGTGAGCCAAGATCGCGCTACTGCACTCCAGCCTGGCGACAGAGCAAGACTCCTTCAAGAAAGAAAAGAAAGAGAAGAAAGAGAAGAAAGAGAAGAAAGAAAGAAAGAGAAAGAAAAAGTACCATATGATAAAAATAATTCAGTGCTGACACAGCACAGGATTGGGATAAGCAGCAGGAAATGAAGCTAGGAAGGTAGTTTAGGGATAGATTATTATTATGGCCTTGAACACTATCCTAAGGATCTCAGCCTTTATTCAGCAGCCACTAATAGGACTCAATTTTTTTTTTAAATATACAGGGACCAACATAATCACATAGGTTTCAAAAAAGATAATGAAGATCATGTTAGTAGCATTCCAAAGGAGAGACCAATTTGTCCAATAGTTCATGACAGAAGTGATATGGGCTTCTGAACTGTAACTACATAAAAGGAAAAAGGATAGATTTAAGAGACAATCCAGAGAAAGGACATGAAGGAGGACTACAAATTAGAATCAAAGCTGAGACAATGACAGTTTCTAGCTGAGGTTCCAGAAAGGAGTTTATGCCACATACAAAGTAAAGAATATACAGATGCCAAGTTTGGGGAGGCAGAAATGGGTTTCAGAGATATACACAGAAATCTATGAAAAAGGAGTCTTAGAGACATGAAGGAAGTAGAGTTTCAATTTAAAAAGGGCCAAGAACATCAAATACTTTGGAGGCGACATCAACAGATGAGTGAGATTGGGCCACTGAGTTAAACAACTAGGATATTAGTTATCAGGCCTCACACTATAAAGGAAATAAAAAGAATACCTGCTGAAGTAAAGCCATTGCATGTAGAAACCCAAGCCAATAAACTCTAGACCAGCAGTTCACAAACTTTTTGGTCTTAGGATCATTTACACTCTTAAAATTTAAGAGTTTTTGTTTTTTGTTTTTCTTAATGTGGGTCATCTATCAATGTTTACTATATTAGAAATAAAAACTGATAAAAATCTAAATATATTAGTTCATTTAAAAAATAAATACATCACATATTAAATGACATATTTTTATTTTAAAAACTTATTATTTTCCAAAACAAAGATATTTTGTATGAAGAGTGGCATCGTATATTTTTGCAAACCTCTAACATCTGGTTAGTAGAAGACACCTGGATTGTCACATCTATCTCAGCATTCAATTTGTTGCAATATGTTGTTTTGGTCCAAAAATATTAAGAAAATCTGGACTCTCACAGATATACAGTTGAAAAGAGGTAAGTAGTTGAATAGCATTTTCAGATAACTATAGGTGTTATTCTTTGATACTACATAAAAACACAGTTGTTTCTCAAAGGTTAGTTGCAATATGAAATCTGAAACCACATCAATGAAGTTTTCAGTGTTCCCTTAAAATCTGTTGGTATTTTGTACTTTGATGGATTACCCATTACAGTTTTGTAAAATCATACATCGGTAACTAGGAACCATTTGTTTGCTGAGTTATGCGTAGCTTCCAAATGCTGACACATTTCATGGTGAAATATCAGAAATTATATTCATTGATACCACCACTAATCTTCTCAGAAAAGTCTTTATACACAGAAACTCTAAAGCTCATTGTTGCTACAAATTTTCAAAAATTCTAATTTTCACTTGAATGATTATCACTGGCAACATATAGTATCAAGTGTTTTCCTTGAAGTGATATATTTTTTGAATATATTCATTTTCAAGAAAATATATGCTAAATATCCAAGTCTGAATAACTATGGTATTTCAGGTAGTCTTTCAAGTAAAAATGATGCTCTATGACAAAAAGACTAGCTCTGCTTGCAAGACAAACTACACATGTGCTTTCCCTTAACCACTGTACTTTGGTATACAGTAGAAGTGCTTTATGTGTAGTTCCCATTTGGTCAGACAGAATATTTTTAAAAATATGAGATGTAATAAAATTAGTAAATTTTTCTGCTTCAAGGATATTCTTAATTCAAACTGACATTATTCTTACTGCATGCATGTACATGGTGGTGAATATTACAATGAAGATAGCAATTTGGTGCCACTGCTTTGATTCATGCTAAGGTGCTGGCAGTTTTACCCATCACTGCCTCTGCACCATCACAGTGAAAAAGGCAAATAACATCTTCAAATTATTATAAAAACAGTGTGAACCTCATAGAAAGCTTCAACTAAAAAGATCTCAGGGACTCTCAGTGTCCCTCAGACTACACTTTGAAAACCACTCTGATATCCAGACTACACAAACACTAATAATCACTTGTAAAATTTACCCATATACAATTAACCAGTGTGAGTCCTCTTACAGGACAAAAAACAAACAAGTAAGAAATCTCCTAGAATAAGGAGTCTCTGAACAACTAAATGGTTGCTAGAAAGGCTCCTCAGATAGACAGGAGGCGGCTCAGGAACCATGCATTTCTTTAAAAAGGACTTATGTAGATGGTCCTCAATTTTTTTCTCCCATTCCTACACCAAAAGTCTAGAAGAATCAGTGCCAAACCTCAAATTTGAAGACATAAAGCAAGTATGACAAGAAAACAACGATGCTGAAAAGATTTCTACCAGATGATAGTTGGTTTAAGCTTCTTTCAGAATGTGGATTTTATAGCTTACTTTTAAAAGAAGCTGAAATAACTCACTCTTTTTACCTAACCATAATAATAATACTGTGTTCAGTTATAAACAACATATATTTTTAATGAAGAAGTTCCACCTCTTCAGCCTACACATAAAGGAAAGATCTACTAACACTAAACCTCACATATAGAGCTTGGTACAGTTAAAGCGGTTCTAATTTGCAAAACTGTAAAATTTTAAAGAAACAAAAAAATCCATTTTGCTCACCACTGTATGTCTAGTATCCAACTCAGCCCTTAAATAAGATGCTCAATAAACATTTGCTGAATGCTGAATATTGAAATGGTTGATATGAAATGAGATATGAACCCAGGTTACCAAAATCATACTAGTGTAACATCTAGCACTCTTTCTACTATGTGAAATCTTTTTTATAGCTCTCTAAAATAACACCTATGAGAAACCTAAAGGACTGTTATAATATCCTCTAACAAAATGTAACATTACCTGTTACATTTGAAAGCCTGGTATGAACCATTTAGACCACAGTTTGAAACCCAAACCAATAATTCTATCATTTTCATTTCTAAATATTTGCTATCTGAATTAAGCAATATTAAGTAACTGTCCACTACTAGATGAAGTACCAATAAGACACCAGTCTTAAATTAATCATCACACATTGATTATCACCCTCATACAGACTATCCTTAATATTTAATATTTCATTTTCTCTGATGACTCAGAATTTTGTTTTTTTGAGACAAGGTCTCACTCTGTTGCCCAGGCTGGAGTGCAGTGGTATGATCACAGCTCACTGCAACCTCGAACTCTGGGGCTCAAGGGATCCTCCCACTTCAGCCTCCTGAGTAGCTGGGACCACAGGCATGCACCACCACACCCAGCTAATTTTTTTAATTTTTAGTAGAGACGAGATCTCACTGTGTTGCCCAGGTTGGTCTCAAACTCCTGGCCTCAAGAAATCCTCCTGTCTCAGCCTCCCAAGGTGCTGGGCTTACAGGTGTGGGCCACTGGGCCAGCCAAGAATGATCCTTAATTTCCTAAAGTTTCTTGCATTTATATTTGGGACATTTCTTGCCTTATAAGAATCTTCAGATAGGCTGGGCACAGTGTCTCACTCCTGTAATCCCAGCACTTTGGGAAGCCGACGCAGACGGATCACCTGAGGTCAGGAGTTTGAGACCAGCCTGGCCAGCATAGTGAAACCCCATCTCTACTAAAAATACAAAAATTAGCCTGGTGTGGTGGCGGGCACCTGTAATCCCAGCTACCACAGAGGCTGAGGCATGAGAATTGCTTGAACCTGGGAGGTGGAGGTTGCAGTGAGCCGAGGTCACGCCACTGTACTCCAGCCTGGGCGACAGAGCAAGACTGTCTCAAATTCTGCCTCAAAAAAAAAAAGAGAAAAGAAAAGAAAAGAAAAGAAAAGAAAAGAAAAGAAAGAAAAGAAACTTCAGATATAAAGACTGTGCAGCATCTTGAAAATAATGTGTCACCGTGGCATTTTGTTTCCTTTTAAAAAATTTCCTGTCAGTTTGACATTTACTACTGTTTCTCTCACAAAAGCACAATGTAAAAAATTTTGGAGTGAGGGGCTGAAAAATGACCTGTTGGGTATAACGTTCACCATTTGGGTAATGGGTACACTGGAATCCCAATCCCACCACTCTGCAATATACCCAAGTAACAAACATGCACATGTACCCCAAAATCTAAAATAAAATTAAAACTTGAGGAACTGAAGCTACAACAAATCATTTTATTTTGAAATACATGCCATGAATGTAACTTCGTTCTCTAGAAAGACATGACCTACCATGGATATAGCCAAAGGAAATGGGCTTCTGTTGCATAAAGAATTTGAACTTAATATTATTTAAAGAAAAAAAATTATATTGCCAATAAAGACTTTAAAGGGGCCGAATGGTGGCTCATTCCTATAATCCCAGTTCTTTGGGAGGCCAAGGTAGGAGGATCACTTGAGCTCAAGAGTTTGAGACTAGCCTAGGCAACATAGAGATCCCCCATCTCTACAAAAAATAAGAAAATTAGCCACACATGGTGGTGTGCATCTGTAGTTTCAGCTACTTGGGAGGCTGAGGTGGGAGGATTCCTTGAACCTGGGAGTTCGAGGCTGCAGTGAGCCTGGATGATGCCACTGCAACCCAGCCTGGGCAACAGAATGAGATCTTATCTCAAAAAAGAAAAAAGAAAAAAAGAAGACTTCAAAGGTAGAACAAGGACTCAATCTTCTCTGCAGGTCTAAAAAGAAAAAAGTTTTTCAAATGTCTAGAATGGCTTAGACTTGGCCTAACATTTGGCAATGAGGCAGAATCAGTTCAAAGGTCAGTCTGACCCAAAGGATTCAAATCCCATCTGTGCGTCACACAAACAAATCATTAGCAAACTGCATCCTTCTGCTCTGCAGCTATCCAGTCTTGGCTTTAGTACTTGCCAACCTTACTCTGGAAATTACCCTGTTCATTAATAAGTCAATTATGGAGAATTATTTCTTCCAACTACTGAAACTTTTGCTTCTCAACACCGTTCTGCAGTCCTTTAATCTTGTTTTTTTAACATTACCAGAGAGGAAAAATATTAATATTCTGTGATGCAATCAATATCTTCTCTAGTAACAATACCCTGTTCCACACTGTTCTATACAAACACAGATTCTACCCTGAATTTCAGAAACCACTAGGAAAATAACAGATAACAGAGAAATTAGAGCTCTTAGGTTTAACTTAGAGCCAAAATCAAAAGAGAAGAGAATTCAGAGAGAGGAAGGAAGAAGCTGAGAGGGTCGTGGTGTAGAACACTTACTTTCAGGAACACAGTGTCCCTTAGATTTCTGGTGAGTTGCCCAGAGCCTCTTCAGTTTCAATCCAAATGACAATGCTTCTCTGAGTCCTCCTCAAGTAATGTTTCCACCACTAAAAATTGGATCTACAAGAGCTTAGATGTACTGGTAAAAAAAAAAAATGTCAGGGGCCCCCATGTGGGCCTCAAGCCTCTTTTAAACTAGGCCCACTTCTCTGTCCTGGGCCAACTCCCCTGTGTACTATATTCCTTCTTCTTCCAGGTGCCAGGTATTCAGCCTGTTTCTTCTCTTCTGAGCTGCCACCACCTACTCTATTTCTCAGGGTTCCTCTAACCCCAAGACTGGCTGTGGAGTAGGACACCAGCTTCCCCCCTTCCTTGCTGTCCCTGCAAATAAACATATAGGCTCTTCTAGTTTCAGTATTTTTCTAATGGCTACAAGAAAATAGAGAGGGAACAACAAAAAGCAATAATATATAGTACCAGAGATCAAGATTATAATTGTTTCCACTTTAATGTTCCTGCCTCCAAAAAACGAATTTTCTAAAAATTGCTTATTGAGCATTTTAAAAAGCACAAAGTACTAACACAGATACACAAATATACTCTAAACCAACTCCAACCTTACACAGCCAAGAAGATACTCTGCTTTTCAAAATACTTAAATCACAAATCACGGGTCCAAAAATAGTAACCACAATCATTTTAGCAAATACTTTTTTTCTTTTTGGAATGTTCTGTTGTAATCCCTTAAATTTAGCATACGTTTGAAAGTTTGCTTTTTGAATATGAAAAATGTACGAAATATTTTATCAATTGTGGGAATATACAAAAAGCATATGATGATTTACAAAAAACAAGCATGTCAAAACCAGCGAGCTTCACTGAGAAATTTTTCAGATAAGTTACTGTCAACCATTCCTGTCTCTAAATTTTAAACTTAATAAAATTCTGTAAAGTGTTTTTTAAAAAATCAAGATCTCATTTTTTAGAAATCTAACGTCTACTGAATATTTGTATATGTCAATATTACATGTGCCTTCTTTTTTAAAGCAACAGTAAGATTAGTATGCTTATTGTTATAGTTTAGTTTCTAATGGACTTTGTAATATCAAAATACATATCTTCTCTAAATATTAAGTAATAAATCACAGGATTATATTTAATTCAAAGGGTACCTTCGTATAAGAATCAAGGAGCTCGATAACTAAGTGCTGACAGATTAAGAATGCCACTGACTGAATTTCCTGGATGATTTTCTTTATTCACTTAATTCAAAGTCATTTTTTAAAAGACAGAGTTATTATACTGCAAGCTTACAATAAATAAAGTCTGAAAATAGGCAGAGATCTTTTCATCTCATTTGTCTAAGAGACTGCCATTTAATCAAACTAAAGATATAAAGGTACTTTCAGTAAAAATCTGTTCCTGTGACTGGGCTCATCTCCAACTACTTATTTATAAAATATTAGAGTACTGGAATAAAAACACTAAATAAAACCTTGATCTGACCCTTCCAGAAGTACATGTAGAAAAATAAGTTTTAATATATTGTGTATTCTGCAATCAGATACTTTTCTTTCTTTAGGAACGAAATTAAATTACATCCTTTGCTCCTAAAGAGATTTTATGGGTTTTCCTTGATCCCCACACACTAACACAACAATGCAGCCAACATTTTTATACCCAGAATGGGGAGAGGGGCATTACACCCAGCGATACGAATTAAATCGCAGTAGCTAATGCCTCCCTTAAATAATTTATTCTCTCTTGGCAGCAAAAAACGTTACAGCCTCTTCAATTACCCCTCACCGCAAACCATCGCCTGGGTTGCGATCAATGTGACCCAGTTCCTATCGCCACAGCCACCTCCGTCTGCCTCCTCCCGCCGGGTCCGCCAGTGTCATGGGAGGGGGCGGCAGCCGCAAGGGCGTCCTCTGGTCGCCACCCCGCCGGCCGGCGGCGCGAGGGGCAGGCCCGGGACTCACCGGGTGGAGGTGCCCTTCCGCACATCGCACATCATGCACTTGAAGGCCTCGGCGCTGTTCCGGAAGGTGCAGACGCTACAGTCCCAGTAACCCTCATCCGAGGACGGCTTCGGCTGCCGCTTCGGCCTGCAGGACACAACCCGGACACGACGCGGCGCGGGGTCACCAGCAGGCCGCGCCCGGTGCCCGGGCCCCGCGGCCGCCCCCGCCCCGCCCCCCGCCCCAATTCTGCGACCCCCGCCCCGCGGGCCCTCGGCGCGCCGCGCTCCGGCTGAGGGGGAAGGGAGTCAGGAAGAGGCAGGGCGCGAGCGCGGCCGCAGTCGCCGCCGCCACAGCCGCTCTGACACCCGGGCGGCCGCTCCGGTCGCCGCCGCCATCGCGGCTCCATTGTGGGGCGGCCGGCGCCGGCCCCCTCAAGCGGCAGCACTCGCACACCAGCGGCGCTGCCCCCGTGCTCGCCCCGGTGCCCGGGCGGCTAGCGAGGCGGCCACCCGAAGCCCTGCACGAGGGCCCTGCCGCCCGCACAGTCCGGGCCCCGGGGCCCGGGCGCTGTTACCTGGTGGGGCTCTTCTTGTCTCCCATGGCTTGGCTATCACCGCACGCCGAGAGTCGCCGCCGCGACCGCTCTGTTTGTCAATAAGGAGGATAATAAGCCGGGCGGAAGCGGGCGGGGGAGGAGGGAGGGAGGGGGCGGGGAAGGCCGCACCGCCGCGCTCGGGAGCCGCCGCCGGATCCCACGCAGCCTCCAGCTGTCGGGGAAACTCCTGCCTGGGCGCACGTGACCCTCGCCGGCCAACCAGCAGCCGCGCCGGAGACTTCAAACGCGGCCAGCGCGGCCCAGCACCCGCGGCGAGTTAGCCGGCGGGCGGTGCGGGGGTGGCCGCGGTGGCCGCGGCTGCCTCGGGCGCCGGCGCCGCCTCTCCGCGCTGTTCCCCCGTTGCCCCCTTGGTACCCCCGGCTGCCGGGGACTGCCTCGCGCTCCAGAGCCCCTCTGAGGAGGAAAACGTCTGTCCCACCGACTGGCAGGGGATGCTCCGTCATCCCGTGCGAAGCCTGGTCCAAGGTAGGGCCGGCCGGCGTTCGGAGGCCTGTCCAGGTCTGGACAGAAGTGCCAGCCCGGGATCTCCAGGTAGAACGACTTTCCTGGCCTCCGCTGTCCTTAGCTACCCAGCCCCCGCCTGCAGTATACCGGGGGGAAGGCGGGAACCAACACGCAGCGCCATTGCTACATGCCTTAAAGCACTGTCTGGTTTATGCACACAGATGCTCTAACAAGTAGGGATTGTCAACCCTAACTTAGAGGAATTGAAATCAAGACTCAAGAGAGATTAGGTGACTTCCTCTAGGCTATATAATTAGAAAATGACAAAGCCAAGAGTCTAACTCTGTTTTAATTCCAAACGCGCCCTTTTGGCCTCTCAGGCCTCTGCAGTAGCTGCTTTTGAAAGAAACCCCTATATACTCATAAGTCCTTTTTAAATATAAGGAGTTTGCATGTCCCCTCAACGCTGTCTGCTAACAAAAGAACACCTTCCCAGGTCTCTACGTCAACATACTAAAGGTCCTCATACTCCAGACTCCAGCAACAGCCATCTAACTGGTCTCCGAAGCTCCACTTCTACCTCCCCAATGTATTCAGTAATCCACAACCAGATTAATAATAAAATGCTGTTAATACTATGCCACCACTCTGATAAAGAACCACTAACGACTTGCCCACACTCCTTAGCCTGGCATTCAAAGGCTTCACACATTTTCCCTACCTCTGCCTCCCTCTCCCATAAGGAAAGCTGCCTCCTGACAAAGAGTGCAGATGAAATTCATTCCCTTACCAGAACCCTTCCTTCATGCACATGGGTTACTTCTGCATAAAGTATATCCCTCTTTAACTGTGCTGTTTCTGTCCATCTTTCTAGGTTTACATCAAGTCCGAATTCATGTAAAATAATTTTATAGCTAAACTACATAGGAAATAATACAGTCAGAAGCCCAGGATTCTCAGCCTGCTTCTCCTGTTTCTTAGCTGATAGACCTTGGAAGTATTGCTTAATTTCTGTAATTCTCAACGTTTTCATATTCTGAATTGCATCTATATGAGATTGTTGTGCGATTAATAATAACATTTTTTGGCCGGTTGCGGTCGCTCACGCATGTAATCCCAGCACTTTGGGAGGCCGAGGCGGGCGGATCACCTGAGGTCAGGAGTTCACAAGACCAGCCTGGCCAACGTGGCGAAACCCCATCTCTATTAAAAAATACAAAAATTAGCCAGCTGTGGTGGCGGGCGCCTGTAATCTCAGCTACTCGGGAGGCTGAGGTAGGAGAATCGCTGGAATCCGAGAGTGAGAGGTTGCTGTGAGCCGAGATCGTGCCACTGCACTCGAGCTTGGGCGACAGAGCGAGACTCCGCCTCTAAGTAAATAAATAAATAACATTTTTTTGAGCACTATGTGCCAGGCACTTTGTAAATCCCTGCGCATAGATGCATATTTTAAAGGACTCAAAGTACTATGCACATGGCCTCATCGACTGCAGATGCTCTTCGATTTAGAAAGGGGATACTTCCCGATAAATCCACCTTAAATAGAAAATATTGTAAATTGAAAATGCATTTGGTACACCGATAAATCCATCGTAAAGTAGAAAAATCGTAAGTCGAGCCATTGTAAATCCGTAGTCTAGCCCTTCTTTTTAAAGACAAGGCAATTAGGGCCCAGGTTAAATGGTTTTTCTTTGATGAGCAGGCCAGGGTTAGAGCTCAGGTATCCTATTGGTCTTTCACCGCATCTTCTTTCTGATTAACCAAATCACTCCATTTACATAGCAGTCTCTAAACTCGTTGTACCATCTGTACTTTTTGCAAATGTAGCTTCTCATGATTCAGACCCAAATTCGGAAACCAGGAACCATGAGGAGTATGATTGAGGCACGTATACAAGAGAACCAGATTTAAGGCCTAGTCTTTAACCTCTCAGTAATGCAGTGGGTAAACTCAGCTAAGTTTTTTTCATATGTAAAATAAAGGAGTTAAAACTATTATCACAACTAAGGTCCCTTGCAAGTCTAAGGCATTGTGATGTTTTTAAATGCCTCAACTGGATGGATCCTCAAATAGACTGACAAGAACTGCTCTACTTGCAAAAGTGATGGCAACAATGTATTTTTAAATAAAAAGGAAACTAAATCAAGCACTCTAAAAATCCCCCATGCTGCAAATCACCATTTCACTAGATTGTAACCTCCCTCACTAAAAAGTAAGCCGCACCTCTGAATCATGAACAAAAAGCACAATAACTTTTGTTGCCTTTATTGCTGCATCTCCAGCCCCTAGAACAGTGTGACACATAGTGGGCACTCAATAAATATTCTGAGAATAAATACATCCACTTATAGTCAGGTTAGCGCGCGCCTGTATTCCCAGCTACTTGGGAGGCTGAGGCAGGAAGATAACTTGGGCCCCGGAGTTCCAGACCAGCCTGAGCAACAAAGCCAAGACCCTGTTTCTAAACTAAATAATCAATACATTCACTTGTGTTACAATTGTTGAATGAGATTTTTTTCTTTCATATTGGGATTTACAAACTGTTAGGCATATTGCATGCAGTGGATGGTCAATAAATGCCAGAATTAACATTTATCCTTCAAAATGAACTTTACAACTCCACACATCCTTGTCGATGAACCAGGAACCTAGTTTTTGTGGAGCACAGAATCATATGCCCTTGCACTATACCAACTGCCTCCCATTTATGGGTGTTTCTCTTAAAAAAAAATCTCTGCCCCTACTAGGCTTACGTGGAGACAGTAGTACAGGAGGTACTCCTCCCATTTCACCACAAAAAGTCACACCTTTCCTAAAGTGTTTACTAGCTGTAAGAGTGGCTGTTGTGGAGAAAACAGATCTTTTTATTACTAAAGTGGCCCAGGTTCTTACCCAATCAGGTGTCTTTTCAATACAGTAACAGAGTTCAGTACTTTAGAAATGTTAATTCATTACGGTCACTTGTAAAGTGACAAACACTAACGATCGTTTTAACAATTTAACAAGTGTTGAAGTTTTCTGATGATTTACTTTTTTTGTTGTTTGTTTGTTTTTTTGTGTGTTTGTTTGTTTTTTTGTTTTTGTGTGTGTGTGTGAGAGAGTCTCACTCTAGTGCCTGGGCTGTAGTACAGTGGTGTGATCATAGGTCACTAAAGCCTTGAACTCCTGGGCTCCAGCGATTCTCCTGCCTCAGCCTCCTGAAGTGTTGGGATTCCAGGCATGAGCCACTGTGCCTGGCCTTACCTTAATGTTTAAAAGGTAAATGAGGGCAGACCAGTGGCTCATGCCTGTAATCCCAATACTTTGGGAGGCCGAGGTGGGCAGATATCTTGAGCTCAGGAGTTCAACAATAGCCTGGGCCATATGGGGAAACCCTGTCTCTACAAAAAATACAAAAATTAGCCGGGTGTGGTGGCATGCACCTGTAGTCCCAGCTACTTGGGAGGCTGAGGTGGGAGGATCACTTGAATCCAGGAAGCAGAGGTTGCAGTGAGCCAAGATCACACCACTGCACTCTATCCTGGGTGACAGAATGAGGCTCTGTCTCACAAAAAAAAAAAAAAAAAAAAAAAAAAAGTAAAGCAATCTTTACTTTCCCCAGTTACTGAGGAAGCTGAGAGCTGAGGCAGGAAGGATCACTTGAACCCAGGAGCTGTGGGCTGTAGTGTGCTATACTATTCGAGTGTCTGCACTAAGTTCGCCATCAATATGGTGACTTCCCAAGAGTGAGGGGCCACCAGGTTGCCTAAGGAGGGGTGAACTGGCCCAAGTCAGAAACTGAGCAGGTCAAAACTCCCGTGCAGCGCTGGGCGCAGTAGCTTACACCTGTAATCCCAGCACTTTGGGAGGCTGAGGCAGGCGGATCACCTGAGGTCAGGAGTTCAAGACTAGCCTGGCCAACATGGCGAAACCCCATCTCTACTAAAAAATACAAAAATTATCCAGGCGTGGTGGCACGTGCCTGTAATCCCAGCTACTCGGGAGGCTGAGGCAGGGAGAATTGCTTGAACCTGGGAGGCAGAGGTTGCAGTGAGCTGAGATTGCGCCATTGCACTCCAGCCTGAATGACAGAGTATGACTCTGTCTGAAAAACAGAAACAAAAAACTCCCATGCTGATCAGCTGTGGGATCATGCCTGTGAATAGACACTGCACTCCAGCCTAGGCAACATGGTGGGGACTATGTCTCTATAAAATAAATAAATTAAAATTAAAGTAATCCCTAGGCTATTGATATAATAATATCCGTTTCCATTCCAATATGCTTCCTAGGAGAGACTGGAGTAGGTACTGAAATTGTGCATGTGATCCTGTTTACACGTGAACAGTAATCTGTTCTTTCTGGAGATGAATAAAAAGATTGAGAGTCTGTCGTAGATCAAGAGACTGACAGTGTGGGCGAGGTGCAGTGGTTCACACCTATAATCCCAGCACTTTCAGAGGCCAAGGCAGGAGGGTCTCTTGAGCTCAGGAGTTCAAGACCAGCCTGGGCAACATAGCAAAACTTCATTTCTACTAAAAATAAAAAAAAATTAGCCTGGTGTGGTGGTGCATGTCTGTAGTCCCAGCTACTTGGGAGGCTAAGGTGGGAGGATCATTTGAGCCCGGAAGGTCGAGGCTGCAGTGAGCTATGATAGTGCCACCGCACTGCAGCCTGGGCAACAGAGTGAGACCCTGTCTCAAAAAATTAAAAATAAAAAAAGGAGACTGACAGCAGGATCTCAGAGACCCTAGATCTTCTGGTTAGTCTTGAGTTTATTAGCCAAACATAATAAAAACAATAAAAACTACGTATTGATGTTGTATATAGTTATTAGGCAACAGGAGCTAATACCTGAAATGAGAAGTACCATCTTGTTTATTAATTGGAATTTGAGAGAAAATGGGGTACCTAAGGGAGAAATGAGCTGTAAACCTTCCCTGAGAGCAGGAGCTCAAAGTATAATAGTAAGCTACAGTGGTAAAACCAATCACATTTTGAAAGATGGATTTTGTGGTTTTTGTTTGGTTGACTGGTATCTAATTTTGTTAGTTATAAAAGTTATATGTCACCAGTTGTACATTATTCGTTTTTTAGGGTGCCATAACAAAGTACTGCAGACTGGGTGGTATAAACAACAGAAATTTATTTGCTCACAGTTCTGAAAGTTAGAAGTCTGTGGTCAAGATGTCAGCAGGGGGCCAGGCACAGTGGTTCACACCTGTAATCCCAGCACTTTGGGAGGCTAAGGCAGGCAGATCATGAGGTCAGGAGATCGAGACCATCCTGGCTAACACGGTGAAACCTCGTCTCTACTAAAAATACAAAAAAAATTAGCCAGATGTGGTGGCAGGCGCCTGTAGTCCCAGTTATTTGGGAGGCTGAGGCAGGAGAATGGCGTGAACGTAGGAGGCGGAACTTGCAGTGAGCTGAGATCACACCACTGCACTCCAGCCTGAGTGACAGAGCAAGACTCCATAAAAAAAAAAAAACAAAAAAAAAAAACAGATGTCGGTAGGGTGATTTCTTCTGAGGCCTCACTCCTTGGCTTGTAGATGACTTGCTCTGTCTCAAGTAGTCTTCTCTCTGTGTGTGTCTGTGTCCTAACCTTCCCTTCTTATAAGGATACTAGTTATTGCATTAGGGCTATCCTAATGACCACATTTTAATTTAATCACATCTTTAAAGACTCCAAATACAGTCACATTCTAAGATACTGGGGGGTTAGGACATTAACATACGAATTTTGGGGGAGGGAAAGCCACAGTTCAGCCCATAATACTGGTGTCAAGTTCAGCAAATATATATATATATGAATTAACATATCCAGTGCCTTGTTATAACACTCCTGGTACAGGTTCACAATCCTTATCTGAAACCCTTAAAGCTGGATATGTTTTGTAAGTAAGGCATTTGGGAATTTTCAAAAGGCAGTTGACACAAATACTACATAATTACCCAACACTCTGAGTGGGTTCTGAGATAGTGCCTCTTAATCAAACACACTAATATTTCTGAAAAACATAAATATTCATACTAAGTGGGAAAATTAATGTCTATAAATCATCTCACATCAGTTCTACTCAGGTTTTGCTGCTAAATGATAAAAGGTCAGGTAAAATATAAAGCTTTCAGGCCAGACGCGGTGGCTCACGCCTGTAATTCCCAGCACTTTGGGAGGCCGAGGCGGGCGGATCACGAGGTCAGGAGATCGAGACCATCCTGGCTAACACAGTGAAACCCCGTTTCTACTAAAAATACAAAAAAATTAGCCGGGCGTGGTGGCGGGCACCTGTAGTCCCAGCTACTCGGGAGGCTGAGGCAGGAGAATGGCATGAACCCGGGAGGCGGGGCTTGCAGTGAGCCGAGACTGCACCACTGCACTCCAGCCTGGGTGACAGAGCGAGACTCCATCTCAAAAAAAAAAAAAGCTTTCAATTTTCAGTTCTTCTTGGAGTATGGGATTATGGACAAAGGATTATGGATCTGTAAGAATTTGAGTAAGAATTAAGATTACAAAGATTAAGATTTAAAATATCCACATTATTTGACACAGTAATTCTACTTTGAGGAATATATCCTAAGGATACAACCTGAAATGCATGAAAAGTTTTTCACAGAAATAGCCATGAAATTATTTTAATATACATTGAAAACAACCTGCATGGTCATCTGAAGAGAAATAGTTAAATAAAATATGATCTAACCAAAGAACTGGATTTTAAGAAGTCATTAAAAACAATGTTGATGAATAATTTGTAACAAGAGACAATGCTTATGTTGTAACATCAAGTGAAAAAGGCAGAATCTAAAATTGAATAAGTATATAAAAAGCATAGAAAACATTATAAGGAGACACACCTAAATATTAATGGTGGCTTGTCAGTCTTTCAATTTCTTGTTTCTTTTTCCTTTTTTTTTTTTTTTAAGACGGAGTTTTGCTCTTGTTGCCCAGGCTGGAGTGCAATGGTGTGATCTCAGTTCACTGCAACCTCCGCCTACTGGGTTCAAGCAATTCTCCTGCCTCAGCGTCCCAAGTAGCTGGGATTACAGGCGCCCGCCACCAGGCCCGGCTAATTTTTTGTATTTTTAGTAGAGACAGGGTTTCATCATGTTGGTCAGGCTGGTCTTGAACTCCTGACCTCAGGTGATCCACCCACCTCGGCCTCCCAAAGTGCTGGGATTACAGGCCTGAGCCACCGCACCTAGCCTTTTTTTTTTTTTTTAATTGAGACAGGGTCTTGCTCTGTCACCCAGGCTGGAGTGCAGTGGCACAATCATGCCTCACTGCAGCCCTAACTTCCCAGGCTCCACCAATCCTCCCACCTCAGCCTCCCACGTAGCTGGGACCACAGGTGCACGCCACCACTCCCGGCTAATTTTTGTACTTTTGGTAAAGACGGGGTTTCACCATGTTTCCCAGGCTGGTCTCAAACTCCTAAGCCCAAGTGATCCACTCACCTCAGCCTCCCAAAGTGCTAGGATTTAGATGCATGAGCCAGTATGCCTGGCCCAGTCTCTCAACTTCATTTCAGCACAGTATTGTCTGTTTTTTACCATTTGCCTCTAGCCTTTTGTTCCTTCCTTGCTCTTCTCCTCTGTCCCCCTATATTGTACCCTTCCCTCCATTTTTACCGCGCCTTTCTGATAGCTCTCTATGTTATCCCATGGTCTCACCTTAACTAATGGCGCCACCAACCAGCGCCCCATTCCTCCTGCATTTCCTCTTTACTCCAAACCAGCCCAGCACTAGATTCAAAGTAGCCTCTCCTGTCTACACATTGACTCTCATCCCCCTTTCCCAAATCCAGGAATTAGTGTGATGGGAACATAAGATTCATTAATGAAGGACAACCTTGAACAGGGAATTGGGAGACATTGTTTCAAGACTTTACCCCACACCTCTGAAAGGGCAGCACTGTGGCCCACTGATGCTGGTGTCTCTGACAAGGTCTTATTCAGCTGGTTCTGCAAGTACCGGGAAAAGTGTAAAGTGGATTCTGCCTCTGCCAAAGAAAGGAACTGCTGCTGCTGGAGCGATGCTTGGAGGAGCAGGGAGAGGACTGGACACCAACAAAAAGCCAACAAGAAGCAAACAGAAGAAAAGCAAGTCCCAGCCAGGTGCAGTGGCTCATGCTTGCAATCCCAGCACTTTGGGAGGCCAAGGAGGGTGGATCACCTGAGGTCAGGAGTTCAAGACCAGTCTGGCCAACATGGTGAAACCCTGTCTCTACTAAAATACAAAAATTAGCCAGGCATGGTGGTGGGTGCCTGTAATCCCAGCTACTCGGGAGGCTGAGATAGGAGAATCGCTTGAACCTGGGAGACGGTGGTTGCAGTGAGCCGAGATCACACCACTGCACTGCACTCCAGCCTGGAAAGCTGAGCGAGACTCCATCTCAGAAAAAAAAAAAAAGCAAGTTCCTTTTTTCTCTAGCTGTGCAGCCTCCTGCTGGTACCCCTTGGCTGAGTAAGAGAACAAAGTGGAAATGGGGTCCCAGAGTATTAGCGGAGTACTAGCTCCCATCACAAAGCCGAGTGTAGCATGGAGGGTGGGGTGGGGCTGAGAGATGATGACCTCTTTGACCACTCAGCATTACACAAACTTTTCTATACATATTTAAACTTCTATACAATGAGACATTTCTACCATTCCCCTAGATGCAACTATCCCATATACAAAGACATTCTCATCCTCCCCTAAAATGAGGAGACACTATGCCCCAGCAGTCATTATATCCACTGTGGCAGGCAATCACACCGTCCATCTCCACACTATTTTAATAACTCCTTAAATTCACCCACAGTCTTAGCTGGTTTTCTGTTACTGAAATACTAAACGTTATAGTTTAACCTCCAACAAAACTTGTATTAAGTAATAAAAGGAAAAAGAGGAAGAATAAAATAGTTCATACAAATGCACACACATACATGCACACACATAAACAATGAAGAAAATATATGTAGCTGCTACGTCCTCCTTTCTGTAACCAGTCATGGGACCACGGTTGTTAGTTATAACTGTGACCCACTAACCATTCCTTGTTACTCCTTACTTAGTCAAGCCCTTAGCAACGCTGAGTTCTTTACCTGATGAGGTGACCTAAACCTTCATTCCTGAAGTGTCTAAATGCTCAGTAGTCCTGACTTGGTTTGGTTACTGAAGTCTTCATTACCTTTTACTATTGGACATTGAAGTACTAAGAGGTTCTCTGAAGAATACCCTAGGCTGAAGACATAGTGATTTTTTTCCCTTCAGCTTTTATTTTAAGTTCCAGGGTACATGTGCAGGGTATGCAGGTTTGCTACATAAGTAGATGTGTGCCATGGTGGTTTCCTGCTCAGATCACCTTGGTATTAAGTCCAGCATCTATTTGTTATTGTTCCTGATGCTCTCCTGCCCAGTAATCCCCACTCCAACAGGCCCCAGTGTGTGTTGTTCCCCTCCCTGTGTCCATGTGTTATTATCATTCAGCTCCCACTTACAAGTGAGAACATAGGTGTTTGGTTTTCTGTTCCAGCATTAGTTTGCTGACAATAACAGCTTCTAGAACCAACCATGTCCCTGCAAAGGATATGATCTCGTTCCTTTTTATGGCACATAGTATTCCATGGCATATATGTACCACATATTCTTTCTCTAGTCTATCCTTGGTGGGCATTTGGGTTGATTCCATGTCTTTGCTATTGTGAGTAGTGCTGCCATGAACATAAGCATGCATGTATCTTTATAATATAATGATTTATATGCCTTTGGGTATATACCCAGTAATGGGATGGCTGGGTCAAATGATATTTCTGCCTCTAGATCTTTGAGGAATTGCCACACTGTCTTCTGCAATGGTTAAACTAATTTACACTCCCACCAACGGTGTAAAAGCATTCCTTCTTCTCCGGAACCTCACCAGCATCTGTTATTTCTGGACTTTTTAATAATTGCCATTCTGAATGGCATGAGATGGTATCTCATTGTGGGTTTGATTTGCATTTCTCTGACATAGTCATTTTTATCCTTGCAGCATATCAGTAACCCAATTTTGCCTTGAATCTGGTTCAGTCTCCCCATCCAATATAGCAATGTCCTTATTTATCTTTAGTTTGATGGCATGAGGAGTACTACATATCCAAGTGTCAATTTCATCGTCCAGTTCAATTGTTGTGGCCTTTTGTGAAAGCATTTCTACTCTGGGAATCAAGACCTTCAGGTTAGTAAAGTGCAATGTTATGGGGATGGAAAGCAAAATTTCTGCAAATAGGCATAATAGTGAGAAAAGCCACTCCCATTTCCATCTCTCTCTTTTTTATGTATATACTTTAAGTTCTGGGATACATGTGCATAACCTGCAGGTTTGTTACATAGGTATACATGTGCCATGTTGGTTTGCTGCACCAACTCTTCATTTACATTAGGTATTTCTCCTAATGCTATCCCTCCCCCAGCTCCCCACCCCCTTACAGGCCCTGGTGTGTGATGTTCCCCTCCCTGTGTCCATGTGTTCTCATTGTTCAACTTCCACTTATGAGTGAGAACATACGGTGTTTGGTTTTCTGTCCTTGTGATAGTTTGCTGAGAATTATGGTTTCCAGTTTCATCCATGTCCCTGCAAAGAACATGAACTCATCCTTTTTTATGGCTGCATAGTATTCCACGGTGTATATGTGCCACATTTTCTTAATCCAGTCTATCATTGATGGACATTTGGGTTGGTTCCAAGTCTTTGCTATTCTGAATAGTGACACAATAAACATACGTGTGCATGTGTCTTTATAGCAGCATGATTTATAGTCCTTTGGGTATATACCCAGTAATGGGATGGCTGGGTCAAATGGTATTTCTAGTTCTAGATCCTTGAGGAATCACCACACTATCTTCCACAATGGTTGAACTAATTTACACTCCTACCAGCAGTGTAAAAGTGTTCCTATTTCTCCATATCCTCTCCAGCATCTGTTGTTTCGTGATAATGATCACCATTCTAACTGGCATGAGATGGTGTCTCATTGTGATTTTGATTTGCATTTCTTTGATGATCAGTGATGATGAGCATTTTTTCATATGTCTGTTGGCTGCATAAATGTTTTCTTTTGAGAAGTGTCTTTTCATATCCTTTGCCTACTTTTTGATGGGGTTGCTTGTTTTTTTCTTGTAAATTTGTTTAAGTTCTTTGTAGATTCTGGATATTAGCCCTTTGTCAGATGAGTAGGTTGCAAAAATTTTCTCCCATTCTGTAGGTTGCCTGTTCACTCTGATGATAGTTTCTTTTGCTGTACAGAAGCTCTTTAGTTTAATTAGATCCCATTTGTCTATTTTGGCTTTTTTTTGCCATTGCTTTTGGTGTTTTAGTCATGAAGTCCTTGCCCATGCCTGTGTCTTGAATGGTATTGCCTAGGTTTTCTTCTAGGGTTTTTATGGTTTTAGGTCTTACATTTAAGTATTTAATCCATCTTGAGTTAATTTTTATATAAGGTGTAAGGAAGGGATCCAGTTTCAGCTTTCTACATATGGCTAGCCAGTTTTCCCAGCACCATTTATTAAATAGGAAATCCATTCCCCGGTGTTTGTTTTTGTCAGGTTTGTCAAATATCAGATGATTATAGATGTGTGGTGTTATTTCCGAGGACTCTGTTCTGTTCCATTGGTCTATATATCTGTTTTGGTACCAGTAGCATGCTGTTTTGGTTACTGAAGCCTTGTAGTACAGTTTGAAGTCAGGTAGCATGATGCCTCTAGCTTTTTTCTTTTTGCTTAGGATTGTCTTGGCTATGTGGGCTCTTTTTTTGGTTCCATATGAACTTTAAAGTAGTTTTTTCCAATTCTGTGAAGAAAGCCATTGGTAGCTTGATGGGGATGACATTGAATCTATAAATTACCTTGGGCAGTATGGCCATTTTCATGATATTGATTCTTCTAACCAAGAGCATGGAATGTTCTTCCATTTGTTTGTGTCCTCTTTTATTTCATTGAGCAGTGGTTTGTAGTTCACCTTAAAGAGGCCCTTCACATCCCTTGTAAGTTGAATTCCTAGGTATTTTATTCTCTTTGCAGTAATTGTGAATGGGAGTTCACTCATGATTTGGCTCTCTGTTTGTCTGTTATTGGTGTATAGGAATGCTTGTGATTTTTGCACGTTGAGTTTGTATCCTGAGACTTTGCTGAAGTTGCTTAGCAGCTTAAGGAGATTTTGGGCTGAGACGATGGGGTTTTCTAAATATACAATCATGTCATCTGCAAACAGAGACAATTTGACTTCCTCTTTTCCTAATTGAATACCCTTTATTTCTTTCTCTTGCCTGATTTCCCTGACCAGATCTTCCAACACTATATTGAATAGGAGTGGTGAGAGAGGGCATCCTTGTCTTGTGCTGGGTTTCAAAGGGAATGCTTTCAGTTTTTGCCCATTCAGTATGATATTGGCTGTGGGTCTGTCATAAATAGTTCTTATTATTTTGAGATACGTTCCATCAATACGTGGTTTATTGAGAGTTTTTAGCATGAAGGGTTGTTGAATTTTGTCAAAGGCCTTTTCTGCATCTATTGAGATAATCATTTGGTTTTCGTCATTGGTTCTGTTTAAGTGATGGATTTTGTTAATTGATTTGCATATGTTGAACCAGCCTTGCATCCCAGGGATGAAGCCCACTTGATCATGGTGGATAAGCTTTTTGATGTGCTGCTGGATTTGGTTTGGCAGTATTTTATTGAGGATTTTCACATTGATGTTCATCAGGGATATTGGCCTAAAATTCTCTTTTTTTGTTGTGTCTCTGCCAGGCTTTGGTATCAGGATGATGCTGGCCTCATAAAATGAGTTAGGGAGGATTCCCTCTTTTTCTGTTGATTGTAATTGTTTCAGAAGGAATGGTACCAGCTCCTCTTTGTACCTCTGGTAGAATTCAGCTGTGCATCTGTCTTGTCCTGGACTTTTTTTGGTTGGTAGGCTATTAAATATTGCCTCAATTTCAGAACCTGTTATTGGTCTACTCAGAGATTCAACTTCTTCCTGGTTTAGTCTTGGGAGGGTGTATGTGTCCAGGAATTTATCCATTCCTTCTAGATTTTCTAGTTTATTTGCATAGAGTTTTTAATAGTATTCTCTGATGGTAGTGTATTTCTGTGGGATCGGTGGTGATATCCCCTTTATCATTTTTATTGCATCTATTTGATTCTTCTCTCGTTTCTTCTTTATTAGTCTTGCTAGCTGTCTATCTTGTTGATTTAAAAAAAAACAGCTCCTGGATTCATTGATTTTTTGAAGGTTTTTTTGTGTCTCTATCTCCTTCAGTTCTGCTCTGATCTTAGTTATTTCTTGCCTTCTGCTAGCTTTTGAATTTATTTGCTCTTGCTTCTCTAGTTCTTTTAATTGTGATGTTAGGGTGTTGATTTTAGATCTTTCCTGCTTTCTCTTGTGGGCATTTAGTGCTATAAATTTCCCTCTACACACTGCTTTAAATGTGTCCCAGAGATTCTAGTACATTGTGTCTTTGTTCTCATTGGTTTCAAAGAACTTCTTTATTTCTTCCTTCATTTAGTTATTCACCCAATAGTCATTCAGGAGCAGATTGTTCAGTTTCCATGTAGTTGTGTGGTTTTGAGTGAGTTTCTTAATCCTGAGTTCTAATTTGATTGCACTGTGGTCTGAGAGACAGTTTGTTGTGATTTCTGTTCTTTTGCATTTGCTGAGTGTTTTACTTCCAATTATATGGTCAATTTTAAAATAAGTGTGATGTGGTGCTGAGAAAAATGTATATTCTCTTGATTTGGGGTGGAGAGTTCTGTAGATGTCTATTAGGTCTGCTTGGTCCAGAGTTGAGTTCAAGTCCTGGACATCCTTGTTAACCTTCTGTCTCATTGATCTGTCTAATATTGACAGTGGGATGTTAAAGTCTCCCATTATTATTGTTTGGGAGTCTAAGTCTCTTTGTAGTTCTCTAAAGACTTGCTTTATGAATCTGTGTGCTCCTGTATTGGGTGCATATATATTTAGGATAGTTAGCTCTTCTTGTTGAATTGATCCCTTTACCATTATGTAATGGCCTTCTTTGTCTCTTTTGATCTTTGTTAGTTTATCAGAAACTAGGATTGCAACCCCTGCTTTTTTTTGCTTTCCATTTGCTTGGTAGATCTTCCTCCATCCCTTTATTTTGAACCTACGTGTGTCTTTGCATGTGAGATGGGTCTCCTGAATACAGCACACCAATGGGTCTTGACTCTTTATCCAATTTGCCAGTCTGTGTCTTTTAATTTGGGCATTTAGCCCATTTACATTTAAGGTTATATTGTTATGTGTGAATTTGATCCTGTCATTATGATGTTAGCTGGTTATTTTGCCCATTAATTGATGCAGTTTCTTCATATTATTGATGGTCTTTACAATTTGGCATGTTTTTGCAGTGGCTGGTACTGGTTGTTCCTTTCCATGTTTTGTGCTTCCTTCAGGAGTTCTTGTAAGGCAGGCCAGGTGTTGACAAAATCTCTCAGCATTTGCTTGTCTGTAAAGGATTTTATTTCTCCTTCAGCTTAGTTTGGCTGGATATGAAATTCTGGGTTAAAAATTCTTTTCTTTAAGAATGTTGAATATTGGCCCCTGCTCTCTCCTGGCTTGTAGGGTTTCTGCTGAGAGATCCGCTGTTAGTCTGATGGGCTTCCCTTTGTGGGTAACCTGACGTTTCTCTCTGGCTGCCCTTAACATTTTTTCCTTCATTTCAACCTTGGTGAATCTGACAATTATGTGTCTTGGGGTTCCTCTTCTCGATGAGTATCTTTGTGGTGTTCACTCTGTTTCCTGAATTTGAATGTTGGCCTGCCTTGCTAGGTTGGGGAAGTTCTCCTGGATAATATCCTGAAGTGTGTTTTCCAACTTGGTTCCATTCTCTGCGTCACCTTCAGGAACACCAATCAAATGTAGATTTGGTCTTTTCACATAGTCCCATATTTCTTGGAGGCTTTGTTCATTTCTTTTCACTCTTTTTTCTCTAATCTTGTCTTCTTGCTTTTTTTTCATTAATTTGATCTTCAATCACTGATACTGTTTCTTCCACTTCATCAAATCAGCTATTAAAACTTGTGCATGTGTCACAAAGTTCTCATGCTGTGGTTTTCAGCTCCATCAGGTTATTTAAGATCTTCTCTACACAGTTTATTCTAGTTAGCCATTCGTCTAACCTTTTTTCAAGGTTTTTAAGCTTCCTTGTGATGGGTTAGAACATGCTCCTTTAGCTCAGAGATGTTTGTTATTACCGACCTTCTGATGCCTACTTCTGTCAATTCATCAAACTTATTCTCCATCCAGTTTTGTTCCTTACTGGCGAGGAGCTGCGATCCTTTGGTGGAGAAGACGTGCTCTGGTTTTGGGAATTTTCAGCTTTTCTGCTCTGGTTTATCCCCATCTTTGTGGTTTTATCTACCTTTGGTCTTTGATGTTGGTGACCTACAGATGGGGTTTTGGTGTGGATGTGCTTTTTTTTGATGTTGATGCTATTCCTTTCTGTTTGTTAGTTTTCCTTCTAACAGTCAGGCCCCTCAGCTGCAGGTCTGTTGGAGTTTGCTGGAGGTCCACTCCAGACCCTGTTTGCCTGGGTATCACCAGCGGAGGCTGCAGAATAGCAAATATTGCTGCCTGACCCTTCCTCTGGAAGATTTGTCCCAGAGGGGCACCCACCTGTATGAGGTGTCTGTTGGCCCCTACTGGGAGGTGTCTCCCAGTCAGGCTACACGGGGGTCAGGGACCCACTTGAGGAGGCAGTCTGTCCGTTCTCAGAGCTTGAACGCCGTGCTGGGAGAACCGCTGCTCTCTTCAGAGCTGTCAGACAGGGACGTTTAGGTCTGCTGAAACTGTCTGCTGCCTTTTGTTCTGATATGCCCTGCCCACAGAGGTGGAATCTACAGCAAGGCAGTAGGCCTTGCTGAGCTGCGGTGGGCTCCACCTAGTTCGAGCTTCCAGGCCTCTTTGTTTACACTTGGTTGGAAATGCAGAAATCACCCACGTCTGCGTCCATCTCACTGGGAGCTGCAGACCAGAGCTATTCCCATTCGGCCATCTTGGAACTTATCCTCTTTTTTTTTTTTTTTTTTTTTTTTGAGATGGAGTCTTTCTCTGTCACCCAGACTGGAGTGCAGTGGCACAATCACAGCTCACTGAAACCTCTGGCTCCTGGGTTCAAGCGATTCTCCTGCCTCAGCCTCCTGAGTAGCTGGGATTACAAGCATGCACCACCACACATGGCTAGCTTTTGTATTTTTAGTAGAGATGGGGTTTCACCATGTTGCCCAGGCTGGTCTCAAACTCCTGACCTCAAGTGATTCACCCACCTTGGCCTCCCAAAATGCTGGGATTGCAGACATGAGCCACCGTGCCCAGCCCCATTTCCATCTCTTGATTCCTGTATTTATTCTGGCTGTGGGAAAGACAGCACCACATATTGGTCTCTGATTCAAAACACACACTGCATCTTGTAAGATAGCATGGCTTTCTTTCAGGACATTGTCTTTAAACCAACTGAGTCTTCAGTAAGCCATTATACTTTTCTACTAGGCCAGATGTTTCTAGGTGAAGGAATACATGGTATGACCTGTAAATTTTATGGGCATAATCCCATCGTTGTATTTCTTTTGCTGTGAAATAATCACACGCACTGTTGTGCAGAATACAGTTGAAATGAATAAGGCATTTTATGAGTCCATGCATAGTGGTGCAAGCATTATAGGCAGGGAAGGCAAGTCCATATCCAGAATATGTGTCCATTCCAGTGAAAAGATCTCTGTCCGCTTCCATGAGGGAAACAGTCCAATATAATCAACTGACCACCAGGTGGCTGGCTGACTTGTCTCTCCAAGGAAGGGTGGCAAATTGGAGACCCAGTGTTGGTTTGTGCTGTTGGCCAGTTAGTATTGTTAGCAGTAGCAATGTAGCTGGGCTGCAAGGCCAGCCTTTGTGAGAACATCATATTGCTGAGCCCATGCAGAGCCTCTATTCTGGACAACATGACCAGTTTGCACATGGGTCCATTGAGAAATCACTAGGGTGGCTGGTTAAAGTGGCTGACTGACATCAAGAGAATGAGTCATTTTGTTCACCTGATCATTAAAAGTTTCCTTATCAGATGGTGCCCTTTGGTGAGTATCTACATGGGACACAAATATATTCACATGGAATGTTTCAACCATCCTGAAAGGTCCACCCACATACCTCTTCCTTAGATCCTCTTGTATCATTCTTCCAATCTTGTCCTCTCTGAGTCCTTAATCATCCAGCCCAAATGTTAGCAACTGCCCATGAATCAGTGCTGATCCATACTTCTGACCATGTTTCAGTCCAGATAAGGTGGACAACCAAACATGTTGCTCTAATTTATGCTCATTAGGAGAATTTCCCTCTACTACTGCCCTTCAAGGCCACCTCTCATTGGGACTGTAATGATGTAACCATCCACCTCTGGTTGGTAACAGCATATCATGTAGAACCATTTGCATACCAGGCCTGGGATTTTCCCCCCTCAGTCAATCAGTTGTAAGAAACTCCTTATAAAATAATAGATATGAGTTGAGAGAGGAGCAGTCACTGTTGAAGGACTCTTCATGGAATTACCTATTTCCCATTTCTGCATAAGTCTGATATATGCCATTTCCACTTGAGGACAGATTGCTGTCATGTGTACCCAACCTTATGGCTTGGTGGTTCAGGTAGCACCCATTTCATAAAGGGAAGCTCAGTTAACATTGCCACTTGATGTCCCATAGTTAGGCATTCAGTCTCTACCCCGGGCTAAATAGCCAGACGACAGCTGTTTCTGAAAAGCTCAAATAATTATTTGCAGAAAAGGGCATGGATTTGCTCCAAAGCCCTAGAGGTCTATATGATGATTTTCCTTTGGTACAAAGTGTATCTGCTTACTACATAATAGAATAAGTATTTTATATGTAGAGCTGTTTCAGTATTCAATATTGCCATTCTCAGGGGGTAATTTTTATTTTCTTGTTAGAAAGCTTTTGTTTAAAATATGTTGTTTTGGGCCAGGAGTGGTGGCTCACACCTGTAATCCCAGCACTTTGGGAGGCCGAGACGGGTGCATCATGAGGTCAGGAGTTCAAGACCAGCCTGGCCAACATGGCAAAACCCCGTTTCTACTAAAAATGCAAAAATTAGCTGGGTGTGGTGGCAGGCGCCTGTAATCCCAGCTACTTGGGAGGCTGAGGCAGAAGAATTATTTGAACCTGGGAGGCGGAGGTTGCAGTGAGCCGAGATCACACCACTGCACTCCAGCCTGGGCTACGTGAGCGAAACTCGGTCTCAAAAAAAAAAAAAAATGTGTTTTAGTCAGGCGTGGTGGCTCACACCTGTAATCCCAGCACTTTGGGAGGCCAAAGCAAGTGGATCACCTGAGATTAGGAGTTCGAGACCAGCCTGGCCAACATGGTGAGACCCCCATCTCCACTAAAAAATACAAAAGTTAGCTGGGTGCGGTGGCCTGTGCCTGTAGTCCCAGCTACTCAGGAGGCTGAGGCAGGAGAATCGCTTGAACCCGGGAGGTGGAGGTTGCGGTGAGCTGAGATGTACCACTGCACTCCAGCCTGGGCGACAGAATGAGACTCCATCTCAAAAAAATAAAATAAAATAAAATAAAAATGTTATTTTTATCTTCTGATCCTCCTCAAAATTTTACTCTGGTTTCTATTGACCTTATTATTTTATGTCAACTTTTCCTTCACTTTTCTTCTCCTGTTATGTTTTTTCTTATATTTTCCTCCTTTCGTTTCTATGGATATTGCCTTTTCCATCGACCTTTTCCAAGTTTTCCTCATTTCTGTTAATTTTCTATTTGACACAATTCATTTCTTTTCCTTAGTCTTCCTATTCTTTCTTGCCTCCACTTTTGTCTCTCTGCATTTTTTAATCAATTACATTTTATTTCTACTAGTTCTTATTAGTGCCACTTAAAGAATCTAACACATGCCTCTGAGATAAGATTTTTTATTTATCCTTGTAGAGCTTATAGGATTCCAATGGAAAAGATGCCAATGGAAAAACTTATTCAGTACATGTGAACATTTAATATAGTGTGAATTAGTTGAATTAGTTGTTGAGAAGGTCAAAGTTCAATATCTCTAAAAATCAGAGAGGGTCCCCAAAGGCAAAATTCTTATTTCTCTACGATCATACTGCATCACTAACTCTGAGTGCCCTTGCAAATCTGCATCTTTAGATATTAAAAAGGGAAAGCAACTCTATGTGCACACCCCACAGCCAAGTATGTTAATGTGTTGTATTTATTATAAAAAAAAGCTTTTTAATAAACTCCACAGTTGTAAAGATTTCATCTCTGATCATATATTAAGCGGTTTTATAAGCTTCCAGTTCAAAATATAAATATCGTAGTTACACTTAGAACAACCTCTAGTAAAGCCAAATATATTTTAAACATTCTTATATGAAGATGTTTGACCCTGAAAAGTCTACTGTAACATATCTGAAAAATTTTTAAGCACCTAAAATTTCTCTACCAATAGCACAAACACAGTTGTAATATCAACTTTCTCAGTAGTGAAAATAATATTTTCCTGAGACATAATCTTGGAGAGTGATATTTAAGGAGAAAGTTCAATCTGTTGTCATATACATCTTCACAAGAAAATGATTGAACTAACATTGGCTTTTGCAGTAATGTAAATAAAACTCCAGCGAGTCCTGAAAGATTTCTTGTAATAAACACATTGCTATTCAAATAATATATTTCATTAGTATATTATATTCTAGAAGCAAACACATCATATAATTAAGATATTTTACATGTTATATGTTACTTAACATTTCTTTTGAAAATTGTTTTTTTTTATTTTTTGTAGAGATGGAGTCTTGAATTCCTGGGCTCAAGTGATCCTCCTGCCTCAGCCTCCCAAAATGATGAGGTTACAGGCATGAGCGACCACACCTGGCCTTACTTAACATTAATTGGATTAAAATATATATATATATATATATATATATATATATATATATATATATATATGCAAAATTTTTTTTTTTGAGACGGAGTCTCTCTTTGTCACCCAGGCTGGAGTGCAGTGGCACGATTTCGGTTCACTGCAACATCTGCTTGCCAGGTTCAAGCGATTTTCCTGCCTAAAACTCCCAGAGTAGCTGAGATTACAGGTGTGCACTACCTACCTGGCTTTTTTTTTTTTTTTTTTTTTTTTTTTTTTTAGTACAGACAGGGTTTCATCATGTTGGTCATGCTGGTCTCGACCTGAAATGATCCACCGGCCTCAGTCTCCCAGAGTGCTGGGATTCCAGATGTGAGCCACCGTGCCCGGCCAGAATTAAATATATTTAAAAATTTTTAATATTAATAAATTTGTAAAGAAGCAAAAACCAGTGGTTGGGGCATTATCTATAGCCAGTGTAAAAAGAAAAAAATTACTCAGTGATACCTGTTGAAGCACAGTTAGGAAGATTTTATTCAGTACCACTGCGATAGGAAGAGGGACCACCACAATGAGGTCTTGCAGTGGGAAAGAGAGATTGGGCTCAACTTCAATAACATCACAGTGGGAATTATAGCCAAGGAGCAGAGTGGGAGTCAGTGGATAGAAATTTACAAAGAAGAAATGTCAGGGGTAAAGAGGATTCAAGCTAAACCAAACTAACAGGATGTTTCCTGAAGACAGGCCAGGGTGACCAGATATCACCTGGGGAACAGGGAGAATGAGGAACCTGATCAGGTATTGAAGATGATCAGATATCATGGATGAGGGCAGTTCTTGTCAAATTCACCCAGCAGGGTTCTTTGCTAAAATGGGATTTTACAAGAAAGTGGACAAATGGGCTTAGCAGAAGGTTAAGAAGCCTGACTAGGCTGGGCGCGGTGGATCACGCCTGTAATCCCAGCACTTTGGGAGGCCGAGGCGGGCGGATCACGAGGTCAGGAGATCGAGACCATCCTGGCTAACACGGTGAAACCCCGTCTCTACTAAAAATACAAAAAATTAGCCGGGCATGGTGGCGGGCGCCTGTAGTCCCAGCTACTCGGGAGGCTGAGGCAGGAGAATGGCGTGAACCCGGGAGGCGGAGCTTGCAGTGAGCCGAGATCGCGCCACTGCACTCCAGCCTGGGGGAGAGAACAAGACTCCTCTCAAAAATAAAAAAAAATAAAAAGAAGCCTGACTAAAGTTTGGCCAAGCAAGGGATCTTTTGTCACCAGATTGCCAGGATTCAGATTCTGCTTCTGAAGCATACTAGCTGTGTAACTGTGGGCAAATTACTTAACCCATGGCTCAGTTTTCACATCTGTAAAATGGGACTAATAATAATATGTACTTACAGGATTATTATGAGGGTTAAACCACTTAATATATGTACAGCCCTTGGGAAAAGTGCCTTATTAGTTGGGTGTGGTGACGTGCACCTGTAGTACAAGCTACTAGGGAGGCCGAGGTAGGAAAAATCTCTTGAACCTGGGAGGTGGAGGTTGAAGTTAGCTGAGATTGCACCATTGCACTCAGCCTGGGTGACAGAGAGAGACTTTGTCTGGAAAAAGAAAGAAAGAAAAGAAAGGAAAAAAGAAAGAAAGGAAAGAAAGAAAGAAGAGAGAGAGGAAGGAAGGAAGGAAAGAAGGAAGGGCACCTAGCACTTATATGTAATATCTAAGTGCCAGCTGTTTTTCTGAGGCAGCTCAACACAATGGCTAGACTCTAGAGCCAAACTGACAGTTTCTAATCCCAGTGCTACCACTGTCTACCTGAATATTGGAGAAGTTACTTAACTCTCCTGTGCCTCAGTTTCCTCACCTATCAAATGGAGTGATAATAGTACTTGCCGGGAGGCGGAGGTTACAGTGAGCCAAGATCACACAATTGCCCTCCAGTCTGGGCGACAGAGCAAGACTCCATCTCAAAAAAAAAAAAACAAAAAAGAATTATTGTGGGTTGATAACACAAAGTACTGTGGCTGGTACGGTAAGTTCTATGCAAATGTTTGCTTTTACCTGGCTTACCTGAGTGCCACTGGGGCTTGAAAAGGAGCATTGCTCTTTTCTTTCCTCTGACTCATGGAAGCCCAAACAGCTTAGTGGAATTGTCAGGTAGCCCATCCTCCCTGGACTCACTGAATACTCTCATGGGACATCTAGGCCACCTGCCAGGATTCGTTCTGCCTAGGGTGCCCTGTCCCTAGGCAAAAGAACAATTCAGGCCAGGCAAGGTGTTTCATGCCTGTAATCCCAGCACTTTGGAGGCCGAGGCGGGCGGATCACTCGAGTTCAGGAGTTTGAAATAAGCCTGGCCAACATGGCAAAACCCCATCTCTACTAAAAGTACAAAAACTAGCCTGGCGTGGTGGTGGGCACCTGTAATCCCACGTACTTGAGAAGCTAAGGCATGAGAATCACTTGAACCCGGGAGGTGGAAGGTGCAGTGAGCCGAGATCATGCCAGTGCACTCCAGCCTGAGCAACAGGGCGAGACTCTATCTCAAAAATTAAAAAAGAAAAAAAAAACAATTCAGGCAAAACAACAATTATGATTATTTATATTTTATTTTAGAGACAAAGTCTCACTTTGTCACTCAGGCTGAAGTCCAGTGGCACAAACATGGCTCACTGCACTCTGACCTCCAGGCTTAGGCAATCCTCCTGCCTCAGCCTCTTGAGTAGCTGGGACTACAGGTTCATGCCACCACACCCGGCTAATTTTTGTATTTTTTGTAGAGATGGGGTTTCGCCATGTTGCCCAGGCTGATCTTGTTGCCCAGGGTGCTCAAGTGATCCACCCGCCTCAACCTCCCGAAATGCTGGGGTTACAGGCATGAGCCACTGCACCCAGCCTATTTATACAAATTAAAACAAGGAGAGAGGTATAGAATCAGCTGAAGGTTGTAACATATTTGAGTTGGCTCCAGTTCTATTCTGGAACTGTTTTTTATCTAAGTATTTTTTGTGTCTAAATATTTCTCAAAGTATTTATTTATTTATTTATTTATTTATTATACTTTAGGTTTTAGGGTACATGTGCACAATGTGCAGGTTAGTTACATATGTATACATGTGCCATGCTGGTGCGCTGCACCCACTAACTCGTCATCTAGCATTAGGTATATCTCCCACTGCTATCCCTCCCCCCTCCCCCCACCCCTTCTCAAAGTATTTATCACTTAGGTCCTCTGGACCTCAGTTTTCTCGTTTGCAAAATGAAAGGATTGTACTCAAAAATCTCTCACGATTGTTCTTGGTATGAAATTCTAAAATTCTATCATTCTATTCACATAATACATAGTGTTTGGGCGCGGTGTGGCCTAGGAGAGATGAAATCTTAGTTTCTATTTGAATCAAGGCCAAAACTCAAATGCCACTGTTGGTGACAGCTGCCTAAAGTGTAGATCTCAACAAACCTTATACTCTCTTTTTATTATGAAGTGAAAGGACCAAAATAAATTGTAACCTTTATAGTGATATGTATTTCTATGGCTAAATTGCTATAAAACTCCTGAACTACTTGAAAATAATAGAATGTTACAGGTCTGAAAGTTTCTAAAATCTTCTCAAATCCAAGCATAAATTTTAAGTTTAAATGAGGCATATATTACACACACACACACACACACACACACGTAAAAGTGCTTTGTAGAGTTGATACATTTTACAAATGTAAGATGTGATCACGTATAAAATCAATCTGGTCTTATTTTAATAGAAGAGCTTTATAATAATAATTTGTGGAGATGGAAATCTCTAGTTATTTAGCAAGCATAGAGAAATTCTTGCTTCTAAACTGACATCAAAGCATTTCTAGTTGATAAGATGTCCAAGTAAGATTTCATATATATGAAGTCATGCCAGTTGCCAGAAAGAGAAGCAGCTTTACTTTGAGGGTTTTGAGTTTCCACATTTGCTTTTAGCTTCTTTGCCAGAGGCACATACTTCTCCTCCACCCCAAGAAATTTCTATGATGTTTTTAATAGCAAGGCATTTTTTCCACGGCCTTTTTACTTTTATGATTGCAGAATGAATAATCGGTTGGCAAAATTTGTTAATCTATTATTATGACTCCTAGTTTATCATGTAATGGTTAATTCTATAGTATTCTTTAAAATATGGCTTGTGTTCATCTTTGTAGTAATACAGTGATCTATTTACCAATGTATATTTATTTGTAAGACAATTTTTTGTACAAAACCATATTATCATGCCTGAAACAATATTTACAACATTAGCACACCTCTTCACATATTCTGCAGCATCTCTTTTGATGTTTCTTGATCATATATTCACTCTTTCACTAGTCACTGCAGGAGGTCTCCAGATTATTATTAACCAAGGTTTTCATTATATGTATGCAATCATTTTCTAAAATTTATATTTCAATTCATATAGTAAAATTCACTCATCTATGAATTTCAACTAATGCATTCAGTCATGTAACCACTAGCCTTGTCAAGATATAAAATGATTCCAATATCCAAAAATATTCGCTTATGCTACTCCTTTGTAGTCAACCCTTTTACCCAGCTCTAACCAGGTGGCAACTACTGATCTGGTTTCCACTCCTAGAGTTGCCTTTCCCAGAATGTCATACAAATGAAATCATACAGCATGTAGCCTTTCCTGTCTGGCTTCTTTCACCTAAAATAATGCATTTGAGATTCCTTAATGGGGTTGCTTGTATCAATAGCTTGTTCCTTTTTATTGCAGAATAGTATTCCTTTATGTGTATGTACCACAGTTTGTTGACTCATTGCCCAGTATAAGGACATCTGGGTTGTTTCCAGTTTTTGGCGATTATGAATAAAGCTGCAGTAAACATTTGCATGCAGTATTCTGTGTGACTATAAGTTTTCATTTCTCTTGGGTAAATATTTTGGAGTGGGATTGCTGGATCACATGGTATTTTATATTTAAATCAGTAAGAAACTTCCAAACTTTTTCTCAAGCTAGCTGTACCATTTTTCACTCCCCCTAGCTATATGTGAGAGTTCCAGTTGTCCCAAATACTCATCAACATTTGATACTGTCAATCTTTATTTTACTATAGCCATTCTAGTGTGTACTAGCATCTCATTGTGATTTCAATTTGTATTTCCTTTTTGACAAATAATGTTGAACATTTTTCCATCAGCTTATTAGCCATTCATATATCTTCTTTAGTGTAGCATCTATTCAAAACTTTTGCTCATTTTAAAACAGCAGGTTGCTTGTTTTCTTACTATTGACATTTTTAAAAATTGAGGTAATATATATATAACATAATATTTAACTTTTTAACCATTCATAAGCATACAATTCAGTGGCATTAAATATACTCACAATGTTGTGTAACCATCACCAACATCTATAATCAATCATCCCCAACAAAAACTTGTACTCATTAAATATTGACCTCCCTCTTTGCCCTGGTATCCCCCAACCCCACCTCCCAGTCCCTGGTAACCTCTATTCTACTTTCTGTGTCTATTAATTTTCCATTTCTAAGTACCTCATATAAGTGGAATCATACAATATTTGTCCTTCTGTGTCTGGCTCATTTCACTAAGCGTGTTTTCAAAGTCCACCCATGTTGTGGCATATATCAAAATTGCATTCCACTTTATGGCTTATTAACATTTTGCTGAATCTAATTACCAAGTCTTAAGTGCCCCTTTTATGCACTGTTTTCAAGTACTTTTTCAGATATATATATATATATATATATATATATTTTTTTTTTTTTTTTTTTTTTGAGATAGGGTCTCACTCTATCACCTAGGCTGGAATGCAGTGGTGCCATAACAGCTCACTACAGCCTTGACCTCCTTGGCTCAAGCAGTTCTCCCACCTTCACCTCCCAAAGCTAGGACTATAGGTGTGCACCACAACGCCTGGCAAAATTTTGATTTTTTGTAGAAACAGGGTCTCACTATGTTGCCCAGGTTGATCTTGAAACTCCTGACCTCAAATTATCTTCCCAAGTCAGCCTCCCAAAGTGCTGGGATTACGTGCATGAGCCACCATGCCTGAACCAGATATTTAATTTGTAAATATTTTCTCCCAAAGTGTTGCTTGTCTTATTATTTTCTTTGGAGTTTTTCAAAGAGGCAAAAAAATTAATTTTGATAAAGTCCAATGTATCAATTTTTTCCTTTTAAGGACTATGACTTTGATGTCATATTTAAGAACTCCTTGCCTAATCCAATATCAAAAAGATTTTCTGTGTTTTCTTCTAAAGTCTTAAAGTTCTACATTTAGGTCTCTGATCCATTTTGAGCCAATTTTTATATAAAATTTAAGGTGTGGATTGGGCTTATGTTTTACATGTGGATCAAATTGTTCCAGAACAATTTGTTGGCAACATTAACTTTTCTCCATTGAATTTCCTAGCAAAAAATCAATTGACTGTATTTTTGAGGATTTATTGCTAGACTCTCTATTATATTCTATTGATCTATGTGTCTGTCCTTTTGCCAAAACCACAGTCTTGATTACTGTAGATTTACAGTAAATCTTGACATCAGATAATGTGAGTCCTTCGACTTCCTTCTTTTTCAAAATTGTTTTGACTATTCTATTTCCTTTGCCTTTACAAATAAATTCTAGAATTACCTTGTTGCTATCTACAGGAAATCCTGCTGAGGCTGGGATTGAGATTGGGGTGAATCCATAGATCAACTTGGTAAGAACTGACATTTTAGCATTTGTGATTATTTTTGGATGCAACTATCTGATTGAAAATTTCTGCAATAAATCCTTCACTTCTACTAGGTAAAATATGATGTTGTTTTATCTTAATGAACCTAATACAGGTATTTGAAATCAATTTCTTTCTGTATCAATTGAGTTGTTTGCAGGTGATTTGTGTTGTAGTGAATTATTTTTAGCTACTAAGTTTTAGTGATACAAAGCTATAGTCATTTTTAATTTATTGATTTAGTTATGTTAGTATTATTAAAATGATGATGTTCTTTTTTATTTTGGAACTATTTAGATCTTTACATGAGCTTAAGTTGTTTTCTATTTATTTGTTGTGGTAAAATACACATTACAATTTACCATTTTAACTGTTAAGTGTAAAATTCAGTGGCATTAAATATATTCACATTGTTGTGCAACCATCACCACCATCTATCTCCAGAACTTTTTTCATCTCCCCAGACTGAAACTCTGTACCATTTAAACAATAACTCCCAATTTCCCTCAGTCCCTGGTAACCACCATTCCACTTTCTATCTCTATGAATTAGACTGCTCCAAGTACCTCATATCAGTGGAGTCATACTGTATTTGTCCATCTGTGACTGGCTTATTTCACTTAGCATAATGTCTTCAAGGTTCATATATATTGTAGCACGTGTCAGAATGTCCTTCCTTTTTAAGGCTGAATAATATTCCATTATATGTACACACTACATTTTGTTTAGCCATTGATCTGTCCATGGATCCATGGACGCTTGGAATTACTTTCACCTTTTGGCTATTGTGAACAATACTGCTATGAACACTCATGTATACATAGCTTTCCAGTTCCTGCTTTCAATTCTTTGCATTCCACAAAGTGAAATTGCTAGATCATACCATAATTCTATGTTTAATTTTTTTTTTTTTTTTTTTGAGACAGAGTCTTGCTCTGTCACCCAGGCTGGAGTGCAGTGTGCCATCTTGGCTCACTACAACCTCTGCCTTCCCAATTCAAATGATTCTCCTGCTTCAGCCTCCCGAGTATCTGGGACTCCAGGTGGGCACCACCACACCTGGCTAATTTTTGTATTTTTAGTAGAGATGGGGTTTCACCATGTTGCCCAGGCTGGTCTCAAACTCCTGGCCTGAAGTGATCTGCCCGCCTCAGCCTCCCAAGGTGCTGGGATTACAGGCGTGAGCCACTGCACCTGGCCCTATGTTTCATCCTTTGAGGAACTGCCATACTAATGAGCTAAAGTCTTATTTGATCTACTTATTTAACACTGCTTTTTATGTTGTCAGTTTTATGAGTAGTATATAGAAAAGGAAATGAATTTTAGACATTAGTGAATGATATTGTAGACAGTGGGGAAAGTCAAGAAAAATATAAAGGAGATACTCTTCAAGGAAGGAATTTGAACATCTTGCACTTATGTCACAGGATCATTGGAATGTCACTTTTCCGGCAGGAAGCCTCTGTGGCGGGTGGTGCCCTTACCTGAGTTTTGCTCAAGCCTGCTGGGCTCATTCCACCCATTTGGCCTGGCAGGCTGTGCTCGTTTCATGCTACCAGCCCAGATCCCATGCCTGCCAAAAGCGAGCCAGGCACAGAGTGGGGAGGAGTGCATGAGCGAGTGAGCACGGGGTCTGGCTACTGCTCACAGCCAGGCACGCTGGCTGCTGCAGTGGGGCAGGCAGCTCCAGGTAGCAGTGCAGGTGCCGGCTCGGTGTAAACCTGCAGCTGGATCTGATACACCACAAGCAGCTTCCACTGTGGGCGCCCGCATCTGGACGAGGGAACACGATGGCGCCCAAAACCTTGGAGATGCCAGAAACCACAGAGCTCCAAAGAGGGTGTCACAGCCCTGGCTAGGGGAGACCCTAGGTCTGGGCTCGCAGAAGGGCTGCAGCTCTTCTCTCCTTCTTGTCGCCCACAACGTGGCCAGTGGGAGGAGAGGGGGTGTGTTACAGCCCTGTTTGTGTTACAGCCCTTTCAGTCCCACCATTCAGCAGGCCCGGAGTTCTTGTCCTGTGTCTAGGAAGAATGAGGTACGGGGACAACTGGAGGGTGAGCAAGGCAAAGAGGTGCTTTATTGAATGACAGTACAGGTCTCAGGAGATCTAAAGTGGGTAGCTCTTTCCACAGGCAGGTCATCCCAATGAGTGCAGCTCTCAGCGGAGAGGAGTCCCAAAGTGGGTAGATCCTATTGGCATATGGGTAGATCCTATTGGCATATCCGCAGGCAGGTCGTCTAGACATTTCCCTGAGTCTGGCTGAGTCCAGGGTTTTTAATGGGTTCAGAAGGGAGGAAGTGCATGCTAATTGGTCCATGGGTAGGCCTGGAAAAAGCACCAGTTCTCACTCCCTGCTGTGGACTCCACCTTAAACTGACAGTCCGGCCCCAGGCTTCAGGCTGTCCCTGGCTTGAGGGTGGGGCTTCACTGGGGACCCATCCCTTTCTGCCCAGGAACCTGTCTGCCTCCTGCCGCCATCTAAATGTCACCCATGGCACCCAGGATGTTTGTACCCAACACTGAGCCACCCTCAGCCCCCCTTGGCCTCCCTCCCGTGCTTGTTGGCACCCAAAGTCTGGAGGAGGCTGTGGTGGCAGGGGACTGGTATGTCAGCTCCTGGGCTTGGCCTCAACTTTGCTTTGAAATCGGAGCAGCCACCAGGGACAGGGAGAGGCCAGGCAGCGGGAGCAGGCACTTTTGAGCCTGCGGGGGCAGGGGGCTTCCTGGCCCCCGAGAGCACGGGATGCCTGGGTCCGCAGCTGTGGCTGAGTGGCTGCAGCTGCGCCCAGGAAGGTGGGGCTCCCACCTGTTCCCAGCTCTCACTGGCTTCACGGAGCATACAGCCCTGACCACACCTACCCCACTGCAGCCAGTGTCTTTGCAGCGGCTGCTCCAGATGAGCCACTGCTGCCATCACTTACACCACTACTGGAGCTGCAGTATGTTCACAGAATCATTATTTGCTTTCTAAAATTCTAATAATGTCAGAGATATAGTCAGCATCTGAGTTTATTTTTTATTTATTTATTTTTTTAGACGGTATCTCGCTCTGTTGCCCAGGCTGGAGTGCAATGGTGCAATCTCGGCTCACTGCAACCTCTGCCTCCCGGGTTTGAGCAATTCTCCTGCCTCAGCCTCCCAAGTAGCTGGGACTACAGGTGTGTGCCACCACACCCGGCTAATTGTTGTATTTTTAGTAGAGACAGGGTTTCACCAACATGGTTGGCCAGGCTGGTCTCGAACTCTTGACCTTAGGTGATCTGCCCACCTTGGCCTCCCAAAGTGCTGGGATTACAGGCAAGAGCTGCTGCACCTGGCCAGAATTTTTTTTAAATTTAATTTTATTAGTATGCAAAAATAAAATCTAATATTGCAAATTCCTTAGCCCTGGAAAGGAAAAGTTTTGTACCAGGTTTTTAAAAAATTAACAATTTCTTTAATAACCATTTTATGGCCTCATTCAGAATTTACCAGAATGCTATTTTTAAAAGTTTATGAAGGCTGGGCATGGTGGCTTATGCCTGTAATCCCAGCACTTTGCCATCATGCCCAGCTAATTTTTGTATTTTCTGTAGAGACGGGGTTTCACCTTGCCCAGTCTGGCCTCAAATTCCTGGACTCAAGGGATTCTCCTGTCTTGGCCTCCCAATGTGCTGGGATTACAGGTGTGAGCCACCGCATCCAGCCTATCCTATATTTTGAAGTACCTCTTTGTACGTTCTCCTCAATAATTCCCTCTCCCAGTGGTGGTTGTCCACCCACCTCATCCCTTACCATGCCTTTTGGAGCACTCTCCACAAACAAACCAACCATTTTCTCAAGAACATTGCATTTCCTTTAGAGTGTTTTACTCTTTGAATTGCCTGCTAGAAAGCTCAGGGCCAATTTTGTGAATAAATTTTACTTTCTTCTTTGTCTTATAATCTTATTCTCCCTTCTTCTTTGCTTTGTCTCTAATACTTTAAAAAAAAAAACTTTGCTGTGTTGTTAACATATTTGTAAAACCTCCTTAGTACCTTTTAGAACAACACGAGATTATAATGAATGAATACTCTGGCACCAGCTGCTAATTGTCTATCCAAAATCTTGCAGCCATAAGAAAAAAATGAAATCGTCCTTTGCAGCAACATGGATGCAGCTAGAGGCCATTATCCTAAGGGAATTAATGCAGAAACAGAAAACCAAGTATCACATGTTCTCACTTATAAATGGGAGATAAACATTGGGTGGTACACACGGACACAAAGATGGAAACAATAGACACTGGAGGCTCCAAAAAAGAGTAGGGATGGAGGAGTGCAAGGGTTAAAAAGCTAACTATCAGGTACTATGTTCACTGCTTGGGTGATGAGATCATTCGAAGCCCAAACCTCAGCAGCATGCAATATACCTGTGTAAGAAGCCAGCGCATGTACACTCTGAATCTAAAATAAAAATAAATAAATAAATAAATAAAATAACCCCCAGAGAGCCAGATAGCTAGCTGGCTCCACTATGTGAGAACACAGTGAAAAGGTGCCATCTGCAAACCGGAAAGCAGGCCCCCACCAGACACTGAGTATGCTGGTTCCTTGATCTTGGACTTCCAGCCTCCAGAACTGTGACAAATCAATTTCTGTTGATATATATAACCTTTCTTTCTTTTTTTTTCTTTTTGAGACAGAATCTCTGTCTGTCACCCAGGCTGGAGTGCAGTGGCACAAACTCTGCTCACTGCAGCCTCTGCCTCCTGAGTTCCAGCAATTCTCCTGCTTCAGCCTCCCGAGTAGCTGGGACTACCGGTGCCTGCCACCACACCCAGTTAATTTTTTTGTATTTTTAGTAGAGACAGGGTTTCACCATGTTTGCCAGGCTGGTCTCAAACTCCTGGCCTCAAGTGATCCATCTGTCTTGGCCTCCCAAAGTGCTGGGATTACAAGCATGAGCCACCATGCCCAGCCATCTTTCTTTACTAATGGAACGCGATTTTGCTCATTTATTTTGATCAATGTGCCCTAAATCAAACATAAAGTTGGGGGTGGTCATAGTTGACATGACTTTAGCCAATGAGATATAAACAGAAGTCTACTTCAGAGTTTCCAGAAAAACTATTGTTTTACTATTAAAAGGGGGCAGAGTCAGGCTGAGGGTGGTGGCTCATGCCTGTAATTCCAGCACTTTGGGAGGCTGAGGCAGGCAGATCACTTGAGGTCAGGAGTTCAAGACGAGCCTGGCCAACATGGTGAAACCCCATCTCTACTAAAATTACAAAAATTAGCCGAGTGTGATGGTGTGTTCCTGTAGTCCTGCTACTTGGGAAGCTGAGGCAGAAGAATCACTTGAACCCAGGAGGCGGAGGTTGCAGTGAGCTGAGATCGAGCCACTGCACTCCAGCCTTTGCAACAGAGTGAGACTCTGTCTCAAAAGGAAAAAAAAAAAGGGTGGGGAGGACGGGGAGGGAGGCAGAGTCAAGTAGGCACACACTTTGCCCTTTTCTCCACCTCTTCTTCCTGTCCATATCCAGAACATGATGCTTGGCTTTACAGCCTTGGTACCATAAAATTGAAAGCCACATGCTAAGAACAGTATCACAGGAAGCAAGCAGGATGTTTCCCTGATGATCTCAGGAAACTGCAGTGCCAACCCTGAAATGCTTATTCTTAGACTTTTTATTTCATAAGGTCAGTAAACTCCCTATTTGATTAATCTGCCCTAGGTCATGACTCTATTACATACGACCAGATACAAACCTAACTCTTACATATTCTCTATCTCAGTTTTCCCCTGAATGTGTCTCCCCTGCTCTTGTCTTCACTGGCTGCCCTCTTATCACACTTTGTCTACAACCCATTGAGAAGACGTTGTTCATCCTCTCACACCCTATGAAACAAAGGCCACGGAGGGGGTGTCATCAATCTCCTTTCTTTTTGTCAGTTTTAGACTTTTATTCTTCCTCTCCTATGTAAAATCACTTTCTTCTTCAAGGTTCACACCATTGTTTTCATCTTTCAACACTCAGCAGCATTGTGATTACCCGACCTCTCAGGAAATGTTCCTCAATCTTGCTCTCTATCCAGAATTTCATAATCATTCTAGACAGTTGCAATATTGATAGTCAATCTTTTTTTCTTTTTTCTCCTTCCTTCCTTTTGTGTGTGTGTGTGGTTTTTTGTTTTTGTTTTTGTTTTTTTGAGATGAAGTTTTTTGCTCTGTTGCCCAGGCTGGAGTGCAGTGCCACCATCTTGGCTCACTGCAACCTCTGCCTCCTGGGTTCAAACAATTCTCCTGCCTCAGCCTCCCAAGTTGCTGGGATTACAGGCACCTGCCACCACACCCGGCTAATTTTTTGTATTTTTAGTAGAGATGGGGTTTCACCAACATGGTTGGCCAGGCTGGTCTCAAACTCTTGACCTCAGATGATCCACCTGCCTCAGCCTCCCAAAGTGCTAGGATTATAGGCATAAGCCACCACACCCGGCTGGCTCGCTCCTTCCTTCCCTCCCTCCCTCCACTCCCCTCCCTCCCCTCCCTCCCTTCCTTCCTTCTTTGAGACAGGGTCTGTCTCTGTCACTCCAGCTGGAGTGCAGTGGCGTGATCTGGCTCACTACAGCCTTGACCTCCTCCAAGCTCAGTTAATCTTCCTGCCTCAGCCCTCTGAGTAGCTGGAACTATAGGCACAAGCCACCACACCCAGCTAATTTTTTAACTTTTTGTAGAGACGGGGTTTTGCCAGGTTGCCCAGGCTGGTCTTGAACTCTGGACTCAAGCAACCCTCCTGCCCAGGTCTCCAGCAACCCTCCTGCCCAGGTCTCCCAAAGTGTTGAGGTTACAGGTGTGAGACATCACACCCGGCCTGATATTCAGTTTTGATCTTGAAGTTTCTTGACTTCCTTCAATCATTCCAACAGCCTGTTCTCAAAGCCACATTCTGGGCTGTGCCACCTCCTTGAGCTCCCATCTGTGATTTTTTTACATAAAGATCTCTTAGAAATTCAGTATAAAGTTAATTTTTAAAAAGATTTTTTTAAATCAGCAAATATTTGCTTACAATGTTTGCAGTTGTGAGAAGTGTGGACAAATCTTACCATTTATTTATTTATTTTGAGACGGAGTTTTGCTCTGTCACCCAGGCTGGAGTACAATGGCGCGATCTCCGCTCACTGCAACCTACCCCTCCTGGGTTCAGGGGATTCTCCTGCCTCAGCCTCCCGAGTAGCTGGGATTACAGGCATGCACCACCATGCCCGCTAATTTTTGTATTATTAGTAGAGATGGGTTTTTGCCATGTTGGCCAAGCTGGTCTCAAGCTCCTGGCCTTAAGTGATCTGCCTGCCTTGGCCTCCCGAAGTGCTGAGGTTACAGGCGTGAGCCACTATGCCCAGCTTTACTGTGTCCGGAATTGGTGGGTTCTTGGTCTCACTGACTTCAAGAATGAAGCCATGGACCCTCGTGCCGAGTGTTATGGTTCTTAAAGGCGGCGTGTCCGGAGTTTGTTCCTTCTGATGTTTGGATGCGTTTGGAGTTTCTTCCTTCTGGTGGGTTTGTGGTCTCACTGGCTTCAGGAGTGAAGCTGAAGACCTTCACGATGAGTGTTACAGCTCATAAAGGCAGTGTGGATCCAAAGAGCGAGCAGCAACAAGATTTATTGCAAAGAGTGAAAGAACAAAGAACAAAGCTTCCACAACGTGGAAGGGGACCCCATCAGGTTGCTGCTGCTGGCTTGGGCAGCCTGCTTTTATTCTCTTGTCTGGTCCCACCCGGATCCCGCTGATTGGTCCATTTTGCAGAGAGCCGATTGGTCTGTTTTACAGAGAGCTGATTGGTCCGTTTTGACAGGGTGCTGATTGGTGCATTTACAATCCCTGAGCTAGACACAAAAGTTCTCCACTTCCCCACTAGATTAGCTAGATATGGAGTTTTGATTGGTGTATTTACAAACCTTGAGCTAGACAGAGTGCTGATTGGTGCATTTACAAACCTTGAGCTAGATACAGAGTGCCAATTGGTGTATTCACAATCCCTTAGCTAGACATAAAGGTTCTCCAAGTCGCCACCAGATGAGCTAGACACAGGGTGCTGATTGGTGCATTTACAAATCTTAGGCTAGACACAGAGTGCTGATTGGTGCATTTACAAACCTTGAGCTAGATACAGAATGCCGATTGGTGTATTCACAATCCCTTAGCTAGACATAAAGATTCTCCAAGTCCCCACCAGATTAGCTAGATACAGAGTGCCCATTGGTGCATCCACAAACCCTGAGCTAGACACAGGGTGCTGAGCAGTGTGTTTACAAACCTTGAGCTAGATACAGAGTGTTGATTGGTGTATTTACAATCCCTTAGCTAGACATAAAGGTTCTCCAAGTTCCCACTAGACTCAGGAGCCCAGCTGGCTTCACCCAGTGGATCTTGCACCAGGGCCACAGGTGGAGCTGCCTGCCAGTCCCGTGCAGTGCGCCCGCACTCGTCAGCCCTTGGGCGGTCGATGGGACCGGGCACCGTGGAGCAGGGGGCAGCACTCGTTGGGGAGGCTGGGGCTGCACTGAAGGGGGAAGGGAGGCACTCAGGCATGGCGGGCTGCAGGTCCTCAGCCCTGCCCTGCAGGGAGGCAGCTAAGGCCTGGCAAGAAATCAAGCGCAGCGCCGGTGGGCCAGCACTGCTGGGGGACCCAGCACACCCTCCGCAGCTGCTGGCGCGGGTGTTAAGCCCCTTGCTGCCCAGGACCAGCAGGACCGGCCGGCCCCTCCGAGTGTGGGGCCCACCAAGCCCACACCCACCCGGAACTCCAGCTGGCCCGCAAGCACTGGGTGCAGCCCCAGTTCCCGCTCATGCCTCTCCCTCCACACCTCCCCGCAAGCCGAGGGAGCCAGCTCCGACCTCGGCCAGCCCAGAGAAGGGCTTCCACCGTGCAGCAGCAGGCTGAAGGGCTCCTCAAGCGCAGCCAGAATGTTCGCGGAGGCCAAGGAGGCACCCAGAGCCATCGAGGGCTGCGAGGGCTGCCAGCACGCTGTCATCTCTCATTACCACTTTATTTTGTATTTGCTATGTGTGTTTTTCTTTTATTGTTTCTTCTTCTCCCTATTTTTCTTTTTGTTAGAGTAGTTGGAGTCTATTAATTTATTTTTATTTTAACTGTTTAGGGGTTATAGATTCTACTTCTGTTTTAGTAGTAGCCAATAAGGTTTTTCTTCACAGTTTTATTGAGGTATAATTATATATTGTATGATTTACTCATTGTAAGTGGATTATTCTTCAATGAGTTTTATTACATTTATACAGTTGCACAACCATCACTACAATTCACTTTTAGAACTCTTCCATTGTCGGCTGGGCGTGGTGGCTCACACCTGTAATCCCAGCACTTTGGGAGGCCTAGGCGGGCAGATCACGAGGTCAGGAGATCGAGATCATCCTGGCTAACTTGGTGAAACCCCGTCTCTACTAAAAATACAAAAAAAAAAATTAGCCAGGTGTGGTGGTGGGCGCCTGTAGTCCCAGCTACTCAGGAGGCTGAGGCAGGAGAATGCCGTGAGCCCAGGAGGCGGAGCTTGCAGTGAGCCAAGATCGTGCCACTGCACTCCAGCCTGGGCGACAGAGCCAGACTCCATCTCAAAAAAAAAAAGAACTCTTCCATTGTCCTCTAAAGTTTCTTTGTGTTTGTGTTCAATCTGCCCTCTGCTCAGTCTTAAGCACACACTGATTTTCTTTCCATCTCTACAGTTTTGCTTTTTCTAGAAATTTCATATAAGTGGAATCATACAGTGTATACTCATTTGTGTCTAGCTTCTCTCATTTAGCATAATAACTTTTTTTGAGACAGAGTTTCGCTCTTGTTGCCCAGGCTGGAGTGCAATGGTGCGATCTCAGCTCACTGCAACCTCTGCCTCCCCAGTTCAAGCGATTCTCCTGCCTCTGCCTCTGAAGTAGCTGGGATTACAGGCACATGCCACCAAGTCCGGCTAATTTTTTGTATTTTTAGTAGAGACAGGGTTTCACCAGTTTGGTCAGGCTGGTCTTGAACTCCTGACTCCAGTTGGCCCACCTGCCTCGGCCTCCCAAAGTGCTGGGATTACAGGCGTGAGCCACCACGTCCGGCCTTAGCATAATAATTTGAGGTTCATCCATGTCATTGGCTGTATCAGTCATTCACTCCTGTTTATTGCTGAATAGTATTCAGTATGGATATACCATTCTTGTTTATCTATTCATCAACGGATGGATATTTGGATTTTTTTCCAGTTCTTGGCTATTATGAATAATGCTGCTATGAATGTCGCTATAGTTTGGATATTTGTCCCCCCAAACCTCATGCTGAAATTTTATCCTCAGTGTTAGAGATGGGGCTTGACGTGCAGTGTTTTGGTCACAGGGGAGGATCCCTCATGAATGTCTTTGTGTCATTCTCATGGTAATGAGCGAATTCTCATTATATTAGTTCCCACAAGAGCCGGGTGTTAAAATGAACCTGGCACCACACCCCACTCCCTCCTCACCTTGCCCTCTCTCTTCCTTCTCCCTCTATGTGATCTCTACAATGCCAGCTCCCCTTCACCTTCTGCCATGAGTGGAATTGGCCTGAGGCTTTTGCTGGATGCTCAGTCTTCTATCCAGCAGAACTGTAAGCCAAAAATACTCCTTTTCTTTACCCAGCCTCAGGTTCCTTTATAACAACACTAAATGGTGGCTTGGTTGATAGGCCTGAGGAATTGAAAGATGAGAACCTATTGCAACTGGCTGAGGAGGCAGGGCAGAGATGCAAGAGAGATGCTTCTGCTTTGAGAAGTAACTGCATTCCCCTGTGACAGAAGCCAAAGGCACATGACTGTCAGGGATGAGGTGTGGAGCCCTTGGGAGGACTATCAGCCAAGGGTCATTTAAAAAGTGCTCTGGTGACTGGGCACGGTGGCTCACACCTGTAATCCCAGCACTTGGGAGGCCGAGGCAGGCAGATCACTTGCGGTCAGGAGTTCAAGACCAACATGGTGAAACCCCGTCTCTACTAAAAATAGAAAAATTAGCTGGGCATGGTGGTGAAGACTTGTAATCCCAGCTACTTGGGAGGCTGAGGCAGGAGGATTGCTTGAACTCAGGAGGCGGAGGTTGCAGTGAGCCGAGATTGCACCACTGCACTCCAGCCTGGGCGACAGAACAAGACTCCACCAAACAAAACAAAACAAACAAACAAAAAACGTGCTCTGGCCTGGGAGGGCTTCTGTCAAAGGTAAAGGAGGTTCTCCCCCAGCCCCAAGAGATGGTCTGTGTGAGTGGACTGAGAATCTACAGAAGAAGCAATGGCCACTGAGGAAAACAATTTCATCATAGCACAGGCAGTTGAGTAAATATAAACCTAAGAACCTAAAAACACGCCCGCGAGAGAATCCGCTTTAAACACTTGCAAGCCTAGAGAGCATGCTGTCATCCTAGAGTAGTATCAGTCACATAAGAATTCTCCACACCCCCTTTCCTTTCATCTCTTCTTGTGCCTCAACACTCAAGGGGCCAGAAGCTATGAGTGTCAAGTTGAGGGAGAAGAAACAGAGAGAAACTCATCACATCTCCTCTTCCAGGTGTGGGGAGGCTGGCCTGAAGTTGGCTCTAACTGTAAGAGTGAAGATTTCATTCTAAATCAACTTTAGATTATAATCTTACCAAAAAACTGGAGATGCTAATTTCCATATTCGGACTGTGTTTTGCGACTTAAAAGTGGGCAGAAAACTGTCTATTTTCTAAGGGATACCTAAAAAGTCCTGGGGGCCTCTTGGAGCTCTCAAGGGGGCAGCAAAACTACTTTCCTCATTTAATAAATGTTAAAGGGATGGTGGTAAACTACATAAAGCTAGGTCATCAATTACAACCCTTGGGTTGAGCTTGTTAAATAATATGGTTACAATTTCCGTATCTGTTGTTATTTCTAGAGATTTAAAAATGGAGGGTGTTACCGCTCATGAGATGTATTTTTTAAAAAATGAAGGAGACGCTGGAGGATTTAAATAATCTAATCTTTTTACCTCTGAAATCTTATTTTACTCTGATTTCTGAAAATACCTTCCTAATTTTCCAGGATTCTTACCCTTTCTCTATTTTTACTTCTTATCTACCAGCCTAATAAATCTTTGTTTTTCCTCAACTTGGACTCGACTTCTTTCTTTTCCATCCAAGATGCTCTAGTGCATTATTCCGACTTACTATCCCATTTCCAGAATTCAACCAGCTGTTGTATCTCATCCTTGCATTAATTCTGCAATCTGCCTTTTCTAGTCTACATGCAGGCTACTGTACAACACTAAAAGAAAAAAAAATGTATTTAATCCCACATCTGGCAAATTCCTAGTCTCCAAACTCAGCTGGACTCCTAGTAATTATTTGCAGACATTTAATACATTCTTGGATCTGTTCCTTCCTCCACTCACTTTCATAGCTATTGTAATTTTTTCCCACTCATTTCAAGCTCTGTGCCCTGAATGAATTTGTATTTCATAGAAAGCACCGAAGTGGCTAGGCGCAGTGGCTCATGCTTATAATCCCAGCACTTTGGGAGTCTGAAACAGGCAGATTACTTGAGACCAGAAGTTCAAGACCAGCCTGGGCAACATGGCAAAACCCTGTCTCTACAAAAAAATACAAAAGAACTAGTCTGGCATAGTAGTGTTTGCCTGTAGTCTAAGCTATTCGGGAGGTTGAGGCGGGAGAATCTTGAGCCTGGGGGGCTGAGGCTGTAGTGATTCACGATTGCACCACTGCACTCCCACCTGGGCAACAGAGCAAGACCCTGTCAAAAAAAGAGAGAAAGAGAGGAAGGAAGGAAGGAAGGAAGGAAGGAAGGAAGGAAGGAAGGAAGGAAGGAAGGAAGGAAGGAAGGAAGGAAGGAAAGAAGGGAGGGAGGGAGGGAGGGAGGGAGGGAAGCAATTTTTGTGACCAAGTTCTCTCCTTCTCAGTTCTATCTACAAATGTATTAATATTTCCATCTCCTTCCCTATTCCCTCTTGCCTCAGCTGGACATTATTTCCCCCTGGATGAATCTATTCTGTTCACTTGTGCTCTGAGTCAGTCTGCAGGCATTACTAGTGGTTCTTATTAAAATGCAGATTTTGATTCAGTAGGTCTAGGGTGGGGCCTGAGATTGTGCATTTCCAACACATGATGCTGATGCTACTGGTCCATAGACCACATTTAGAGTAGAAAGGCTGTTATTTGATATTCCCTTATCTCCTTTTGCTCTACCAATTATCCTTTCTCCTTGCTTTATTTCCAAATTCTCTAATGGCTTTTCAGGATATAAAATGTTTGAATTTGTCTGATCTTAAAAAGTCTGTCTCCAAAATAGGAACACTTTTACACTGTTGGTGGGAGTGTAAATTACTTCAACCATTGTGGAACACAGTGTGGTGATTTCTCAAGGATCTAGAACCAGAAATACCATTTGACCCAGCAATCCCACTATATACCCAAAGGATTATAAATCTTTCTACTATAAAGACACATGCACACATGTGTTTATTGCAGCACTATTTACAATAGTAAAGACCTGGAACCAACCCAAATGCCCATAATGATAGACTGGATAAAGAAAATGTGGCACTATACACCATAGAATACTATGCAGCCATAAAAAAGAGTGAGTTCATGTCCTTAGCAGGGACATGGATGAAACTGGAAACCATCATTCTCAGCAAACTAACACAGGAACAGAAAACCAAACACCTCATATTCTTACTCGTAAGTGGGAATTGAACAATAAGAACACGTGGACACAGGGAGGGGAACGTCATATACTGGGGCCTGTCTGGGGGTGGGGGGCAAGGGGAGGGAGAGCATTAGGACAAATACCTAATGCATGAGGGGCTTAAAACCTAGATGATGGGTTGATGGGTGCAGCATACCACCATGGCACATGTATACCTATGTAACAAACCTTCACATTCTGTATATGCATCCCAGAACTTAAAGTATAATTAAAAAAAAAAAAAAAAGGCTTTCTCCAAAACATTTTCTAAAGTCATCACCCAATCTCGCACTTTACCATCTGGATTAGTTATCCATTGCTGCATTACAAATTACTCTAAAGTTTAGCTGAAAATTAAGTTTCTGTAGGTCAAGAATCTGGGTGTCAGCTGGGCGCAGGGGCTCACACCTGTAATCCTAGCACTGTGGGAGGCCCAGGCAGGCGGATCACTTGAGGCCAGAAGTTTGAGACTATTGTGGCCAACATAGCGAACCATGTTTCTACCAAAAATACAAAAATTAGCCGGGCGTGGTGGTGCATGCCTGTAATCCCAGCTACTCCAGAGCCTGACGCATGAAAATCGTTTGAACCCAGGGGGCAGAGGTGGTTGCAGTGAGCCGAGATCGCGCCACTGTACTCCAGCCTGGGCGACATAGTGAGACTCTGTCTCAAAAAAATAAATAAAATAGAAAATAAATAAATAAAACATGTCTAAAAAGATGGAAGCTAAAAAAAAAAAAAAGAATCTGGGTGTGCCTTAGCTAGGCACTCCACCTTGGAGTCTCTTACAAGACTGCAATCAGGATGTCAGCTGGGGGTATAGTCATTTCAAATTTGTCTAAGGGAGGAACCATTTCTGAACTCATTCATCTGGTTGTTGGCAGAACTGAATTCCTTGCAGGTTGTTGGACTGAGGGCCTTAGTTCCTCATTGGCTATTAACTGGAATTTTCTATCAGTTCTTTGCCATGTGGGTCTCTCTAGGGCAGCTCACACTGTGGCAGCTGGCTTCCATCTGAGTGAGCAGAGACTGTACGAAAGGGCAAGCAAGATGGAATCTAGTCTTCTGTAACCCTTGGAAGTGACATCCTATCACTTCGCTGTAGTCTATTCTTTTTTTTTTTTTTTTTTGACAGAGTCTTGCTTTGTCACTCAAGCTAGAGTGACGTGGTACAATCTTGGCTCACTGAAACCTCCACCTCCCGAGTTCAAGTGATTCTCCTGCCTCAGCCTCCTGAGTAGCTGGGATTACAGATGTGCACCACCACACCTGGCTAATTTTTGTATTTTTAGTAGAGATGAGGTTTCACCATGTTGGCCAGGCTGATCTTGAATTCCTGACCTCAAGTGATCCACCCACCTCAGCCTCCCAAAGTGCTGGGATTACAGGTGTGAGCCACTGCACCTGGCCATCCACTGCCACTTCTTATGCTACCATCATGCTTGCTACCACCTGCCTTCTCCTCCTTTCAAATAGGTTACTTCCATGTTACTTCTACAGGCAGGGAAAACAGGGACTGACTGAAAATCAAAAGGGCTGTCTTTTCAGCCAAGTTCATGAGCATTAGTGCAGAAATATTACAACTTATCATTTATCACAGCGATCCCCCTTATTTCCTACTTCTTGTTTATATTATAGAGAAGAGAAGTTGTTGGACCAAAGTCTTTTAGACAAGTGAAGTATAATCACATACTGCAATAAAAAAAAAATTTATGTCAGCTATGGATATAGTTTCTATGTGGGGAACTAGACTATATATAAATCAATAATCCAATACTTAAATCTGAATAAGTTATGAATGACTCTCTCATTCATCCCATTTTCCACTTTACCCCCAGCCCTTTCTTATCCTACTTTTCTATCACTGCAATCTCAAGAATAAAATAGTGGGTGCAGGTTATTGTATATAACTGTAAAAGAGAAGACTAGACAAAGTGTAACCCAGCTGGGTGTGGTGGTACACGCCTATAGTCCCAACTACTAGGGAAGCTGAAGTGTGAGGATCACTTGAGCCTTGGGGGTCGAGGCTGCAGTGAGCTATGACTGTGCCACTGAAGTCAAGCCTGGGAGATGAAGTGAAACACTGTCTCAAAAAATAAAAATAAAAAAGAATAAGTATAATGCCTTTACTTTCCTATCTAATAATATTTAGTGGCAAGATCATGTGAAATCAGTTGGCTGGGTATGTACTTGTCCCTCCTACCCCTGATATAAGTTTACTGAAATAGGAATATATTTAAGTAGATATATCACTTATACTTTTTAAAGGTCTATCACAAGCTACTTGACCCCTTCCTGAAATGAAAACAGAAACTAAATCCTATGGACAACCCTATATGCAAGTGAGCTGATTAGCTCTGCTAACATAGGGCAAATAGTTTTTGGAAACATCTTAAGTGACAATATTCTCAGGAGCTGTCCATTAGCCTAGGTAAATGTGAAGATACAGACACAAGAGAAAAGCAAATAACCAATTAGAATTGGCTGTGAGAGCCTCGTGTGGACAAATGCAACAGAAGCAGTTTCCACTGGAACTGAGGTTTGTTTATTCTGCTTATCTGGAGGCAGAACCAATAATCCCAATGATCCCAGAATGATGATAACTGTTTTTCTACATTTAAAAAGAGCCAATTAGGGCTGGCACAGTGGCTCACGCCTGTAATCCCAGCACTTTGGAAGGCCGAAGCAGGTGGATCATGTGAGGTAGGGAGTTCGAGACCAGCCTGACCAACATGGAGAAACCCCGTCTCTACTAAAAATACAAAATTAGCCAGGGGTGGTGGCACATGCTTGTAATCCTAGCTACTCAGGAGGCTGAGGCAGGAGAATCATTTGAACCTGGGAGGTGGAGGTTGTGGCGAGCTGAGATTGCACCGTCGCACTCCAGCATGGGCAATGAGCAAAACTCCCTCTAAAAAAAAAAAAGGAGCCAATTAGCAGAACCTTTGCAAATGGGCCAATTCCTGCTCTTAGTATCAGAATACAAATAAAGCTTTGCTGATTTAATGCTGATTTGTCATGTGCCTTGAATTGTTTCATATTAGCAGAGACAGATTTACATCCTTTCTTATGCTTTCTGGCTCAGTGCTTTTTGCAACCACCTGAATGCACTTAAGAGACAGAAGGGTGACGTTCATATTTTGAGAACAAAACCAAGTGACCTGACCTTAGCTTCTGTCAAATGTCTCTGTCAAATGCCATGTTTGCAACCTTTAAAACTAGTGGAGGAACATCTATAAGGCTTTATGTACCAAAATTGGGGCTGCTACATAGCACATCTTTGTTGGATTTCACAGAGACCTCTATTCAGCTCTCCCTTGATTTACTTCTTTTAGCTCAAGCTGATCTAAAGCTTAATTATCTTTAAGGACTCTGCCTTTTCTACTTATCTCCACTAGTTTTTATTGTGTCATTGTGCAACTTGGTTTCTGTCCTTGGCCAATCTCAGATTCTGCTTTTGCTTTATTTTACTAGGTCTCATTGACCTGCTTATACCCTCCTCTGTATCTGGTTTCAACTTTTGACCTGCTTTTGTTTTGGCTCTTCCCTAACAGTCTGTAGAGACTTTGATCCATCATGTAGCACAAGATTACGGGAGCTACGTTAGAACACTGTCAGCTGGTTTATCAGCCCCTCTGACCTCCTATCTTCTAAAATGATTTTATTTGTAGGCTTGTTAGTTGAAGCTGGCTGACAACCTTGTATTATGACCTTTAAGTAAGAATCTTGCTATGGGATTGGATAGAAAGTAATGTTTCTTCCCTCAGTTCCCATCCTTCACGTTTTTTACCATGAACGCTGAATACCCATGGAAGATAGTGTTTAATTTACTAAACGAATGCAAGCTGAAGCAGCCTTTTTGAAATAATTTGGAGTTGTTATTTCACAAAAACAAATGTGGAATGATAGACCCATTAATTAAAAGATAGAAATTCAAGAGAAAAAAGTCTCAATATTTTTTCTTCAAGTAATTAATGACACCATATGTGAAGCTAAGTGATTTCTATAATTTGCAGATTTGGTCTCAGCTAAGAGCTAAAACTGTTCATAGCAGCACTAAGGAGGCCTATACCCCTACAGGGAAATTATAAAATTTTATATATTTTAACTCTTTCACTACTGCCAACATTCAGCACATAGTGTTTTCTTCCAATCTTAATGGTTTATTTCATTTCATTGTGTTTGTTGTGGGGATTATTAAAGCAGTCACAACAGAGCCTAGCACATAGTATATGCTTTTGCAACTTTTTTTTGAGGGGGAGTCTCCCTCTGTCACCCAGGCTGGAGTACAATAGGGCAATCTCAGCTCACTGCAAACTCCGCTTCCCAGATTCAAGTGATTCTCGTACCTCAGCCTCCTGAATAGCTGGGATTACAGCATCTGCCAGCACGCCTGGCTAATTTTTGTATGTTTAGTAGAGATGAGGTTTCACCATGTTGGCCAGGCTGGTCTCGAGCTCCTGACCTCAAGTGATCTGCCTGCCTCAGCCTCTCATAGAGCTGGGGTTATAGGCGTGAGCCACCACACCCAGCCTGCAATTTTTTTGAGACTGGGTCTCGCTTTGTTGCCCAAGCTGGAGTGCAATGGCACTGTCACAACTCACTGCATCCTCAACCTCCCAGGCTCAGTTGATCCTCCTACCTCAGCCTCCTGAGTAGCTGGGACTACAGGTGCACACCACCACACCTGGCTAATTTTTAAAATTTTTTGTAGAGACAGGGTCTCACTATGTTGCCCAGGCTGGTCTCGAACTCCTGGGCTCAAGTGATCCTCCTACCTTGGCCTCTCTCAGTGCTGGGATTGCAGACATGAACCACAGCACCTGGCTGATCTTTGCTATTATAATATGTTAAAATTATAAAAATGGATTAGCATCAAGATAGTGCTGAAAGGTATTTGACTAGGAATGTCTGAATTTGGTCTTGGGCCTGTCACTCCTTTCTGTGACAGTGTTGAGGAAGCTATTGCACAATGGGGGCAAATCAAGACAAAGTCATATTTCATTGTTAGCTGTATCTTTGGCTCCAAACCTTAATGCAAAACTCCAGAGAGCTGGACCAGAAGAAGTGTAGAATTCCACTTCCTTAGGCTGGAGGCTACAAACACCAACACCCAAAGCAAGTCAAATGGCACATCTAGTCTCTCCTTCCTGCCTCATCATCTCATTCACCCTCAAGTTTTGAAATTTGCCTTTCCAGTGGTATGAAAAGGACACCTGCCAGATCTAGAGAACAAGGGACAAATACGAGCAAAAAGTTGTTCACTGAAAATAAAGGTATCTATCCCAGACCTTCCTGTGTCAGGGCAAAACACTAAGTTTGTGTGAAAAAAAAAAAAAGCAAAAAAAAAAAAAAAAAAAAAAAAAAGCAAAGAGAACAGAGAAAGGGGAAGTGGTTTAGACTTCTACCAAGTCCTAAGTGTTCCTTCCACATCCACATGGGTGCAGAATTGAAAAGAAGGGAAAGAACCAAATTCAGTTTTGAAAATATAGCACTAGCTCTTATTGCCATCCCAGTCTTCTTAGGGCATTTGATAAATGGCCATGCACCAAGCTGCTAGCTGCAGATCATGCAATGTTCATTAACCAAACCAAATCAAACCATAGAAAACTGCTCCTTGCAGATTGAGTTAAAGGACAAAGGAACAGAACAAAGAGTACTACCTTCGCCCATGGGCAATAACTGTCTTCCAGGATTGTGAAGCTGATTGACAATAATGTATGTAATGTACATGGCACATAGTAGGCTCTCAAATTGTAGTTATTTTTCTTTGTTTTGCTATTATTATGAAAGAAAAATCTGTATGCTAGATACAGAAATGTACAAAATTGAATGAAAAGCAAAATTTATATAGTGCTTGATATAATAATTATATCTCCCAGAACTATAGCAAAAAGTGATTGACTACTTAGAACTTAAAATTTTAAGAGCGATTTTAAACTGTTTTCTCTGAAATTGGTAGCTACGGGTGGTCAAATACAGTACTTGGGTATAGATTTAAGAAACTTAAAATGAATACAGAGTTTGACAGTTATGTTCCATGTAGAATTAAGTCATATTTAGAATTTGACTGGGATGTTAGCCAAAGAAATTTGCTATAGTTTCATGAGATAAAATTATAGCATGAATCATCATCTCTCTAGCCTCTTCAAGTAAGATTTTTTTCAAAGGATATTTTAAAGACAAACACAGTTCATAATTTGATGTATATGTGTTTCTGCAATTTGAGTCTTTAATTTCAAGTGATATGGTAGAGAAAGCATACCTTTTCAAAAGCACATTTTTGGGCTTATTAGATGAGAACTAAGTAAAGGCATGCAAAAACATAATTTTTTTTCTATTTAAAAGAAGACAGGCCAGGCATGGTGGCTTATGCCTGTAATCGCAGCACTTTAGGAGACCAAGGCTGGGGGACTGCTTGAATCCAAGGGTTCAAGACCAGCTGTGGGAACATAGCCAGACTCCCATCTCTACAAAAAAAAAAAAAAAAATTGGTTGCGCATGGTGGCATATGCCTGTAGTCCCAGCTATTTGGGAGGCTGAGGCAAAAGGATCACTTGAGCCCAGGAATTTGAGGCTGCAGTGAGCTATGATTGCACTCCAGCCTGGGTAACAAAGCAAGACTCTGACTCAAAATGAATAAATAAATAAATAAATAAATAAATAAATAAATAAATAAAATGAAATATAAGGAGGCAAAGGTAATAGTTTGACATTTTTCCAGGCTAAGCTATCATTTAGACAATATAGAACATAAAAATATAGATAGTTTGACGAAAACTCAGATACAGGTAGTTTGGCCAAACTATCTGTATTTTTATGTTCTATATAAACATGGTTATGAAAGAAAATATAGATAGATATCTTTATGAGCAAAGATTTTTAAAATGAATTATCATATTTTTGACAGTATAAGACAAGTACAGAACGTTGGGAAAACTTATTCTGAGATCATCATCTAATACTGCAGGCATAAGACATTTAAATCCAACTTTAGAAGTCCTGATGTTTGTGTTGAAGATGAAAATACAGGTTTTAAAAGATTAGTCGAGTAAGATTGTATCAGCGTTACTAGATATTTTTTCATTTATACTGGAATTTTTGGTTGGCTAAACTTTCACAATAAGTCAATTTAATCTTTCTTTCTTTCTTTTTTTTTTTTTTTTGAGACGGAGTCTCGCTCTGTCGCCCAGGCTGGAGTGCAATGGCACGATCTCGGCTCACTGCAAGCTCCGCCTCCTGGGTTCAGGCCATTCTCCTGCCTCAGCCTCCCGAGTAGCTGGGACTACAGTCGCCCGCCACCACGCCCGGCTAATTTTTTTTTTTTTTTTTTTTTGTATTTTTAGTAGAGACGGGGTTTCACCGTGGTAGCCAGGATGGTCTCAATCTCCTGACCTCGTGATCCGCCCGCCTCGGCCTCCCAAAGTGCTGGGATTACAGGCGTGAGCCACCGCGCCCGGCGAGTCAATTTAATCTTTAATCTTTAAAGTTATCATAACCTCTGAGTAATAGCATCTGTCATTGTGCTGAAGTTAATTGTGGTTCCCTTAACAATTGCTTTTTTAAAAAAAGTATTAGAAAAAGAGACTAGTAAGATAAAGCCCAATCTAACTCATACAGTTTAAATAAGATGAGTTATTTAGACTGATACTGCATAAACTTAAGCGTCATCTGATATTGCAGCCATAAAACATGTAGATGACTTAACTTCTCTGTGACTTGGTTTCCTCATTTGTAAAATGGACATACCTCATTCAATTCTTGTAAAGATTAAAGTAGAAAACACGTTTAAAGTGCTTCAAGAGGGGAGCCAGGCTGAGGGTGGGGGTGGGTGGCGGGGAGGCGGGGCGGAGGAGGAAGAAGAGAGACTAGGGCAGCAGAGGAGGCGAGGAGCGCAGGGTATCGGGCGGGGGAGCCGCCGGCCCTCGGGGAACAGACGGATGATGAACAAGCTTTTCATCGGGAACCTGAGCCCCGCCGTCACCGCCGAAGACCTCCGGCAGCTCTTTGGGGACAGGAAGCTGCCCCTGGCGGGACAGGTCCTGCTCAAGTCCCGCTACGCCTTCGTGGACTACCCCGACCAGAACTGGGCCATCCGCACCATCGAGACCCTCTCGGGTCAAGTGGAATTGCATGGGAAAATCATGGAAGTTGATTATTCAGTCTCTATAAAGCTAAGGAGCAGGAACATTCCGATTCGAAATATCCCTCCTCACCTGCAGTGGGAGGTGTTGGATGGACTTTTGGCTCAATATGGGACAGTGGAGAATGTGGAACAAGTCAACACAGACACAGAGACCGCTGTTGTCAACGTCACATATGCAACAAAAGAAGAAGTAAAAATAGCCATGAAGAAGCTAAGCGGGCATCAGTTTGAGAACCACTACTTCAAGATTTCCTACATCCCGGATGACGAGGTGAGCTGCCCTTCGCCCCCTCAGCGAGCCCAGCGTGGGGACCACTCTTCCTGGGAGCAAGGCCAAGCCCCTGGGGGCTCTTCTCAGGCCAGACAGATTGATTTCCCACTGCGTGTCCTGTTCCCCACCCAGTTTGTTGGTGCCATCATCGGAAAGGAGGGCTTGACCATAAAGAACATCACTAAGCAGAGCCGGTCCCGGGTAGACATCTATAGACAAGAGAACTCCAGAGCTGCAGAGAAGCCTGTCACCATGCCACCCCAGAGGGGACTTCTGAAGCATGCCGCATGATTCTTGAAATAATGCAGAAAGAGGCAGATGAGGCCAAACTAGCCGAAGAGATTCCTCTGAAAATCTTGGCCCACAATGGCTTGGTTGGAAGACTGATTGGAAAAGAAGGCAGAAATTTGAAGAAAAATGAACATGAAACAGGGACCAAGATAACAATCTCATCTTCGCAGGATTTGAGCATATACAACCCGGAAAGAACCATCACTGTGAAGGGCACAGTCGAGGTCTGTGCCAGTGCTGAGATAGAGATTATGAAGAAGCTGCGTGAGGCCTTTGAAAATGATACGCTGACTGTTAATACCCACTTCGGATACTTCTCCAGCCTGTACCCCCATCGCCAGTTTGGCCCGTTCCCGCATCATCACTCTTATCCAGAGCAGGAGATTGTCAATCTCTTCATCCCAACCCAGGGTGTGGGCGCCATCATCGGGAAGAAAGGGGCACACATCAAACAGCTGGCGAGATTCGTGGGAGCCTCCATCAAGATCGCCCCTGCGTCAGCGGAAGGTCATCATCACCTGGCCACCGGAATCCCAGTTCAAGGCCCAGGGACGGATCTTTGGGAAACTGAAAGAAGAAAACTTTTTTAACCCCAAAGAAGACGTGAAGCTGGAAACCCATATCAGAGTGCCCTCTTCCACCGCTGGCCGGGTGATTGGCAAAGGGGGCAAGACCGTGAATGAACTGCAGAATTTAATCAGTGCAGAAGTCATCGTGCCTCGTGACCAAACGCCAGATGAAAATGAGGAAATGATCGTCAGAATTATCGGGCACTTCTTTGCTAGCCAGACTGCACAGCGCAAGATCAGGGAAATTGTACAACAGGTGAAGCAGCAGGAGCAGAAATACCCTCAGGGAGTCGCCTCACAGCGCAGCAAGTGAGGATCCCACAGGCACAAGCAAAACAACGGAAGAATGTAGCCCTTCCAACACCTGACAGAATGAGACCAAACACAGCCAGCCAGATCAAGAGCAAACCAAAGACCATCTGAGGAATGAGAAGTCTGCGGAGGCGGCCAGGGACTCTGTAGAGGCCCTGAGAACCCCAGGGGCCGAGGAGGGGTGGGGAAGGTAAACCAGGTTTGCCAGAACCACCGGGCCCCTCCTCCTGTCCCCCAGGGCTTCTGCAGGCTTCAGCCATCCACTTCACCATCCACTCGGATCTCTCCTTAACTCCCATGACGCTATCCCTTTTAGTTGAACTAAAATAGGTAAACATTGTTCAAAGCCAAGCAAAATGCACGCCCTTTTTTGTGGCAAATAGTCTCTCTACACGTGTATACATATTAGAAGGGGAAGATGTTAAGATATGTGGCCTGTGGGTTACACAGGGTGCCTGCAGCGGTAATATATTTTAGAAATAATATATCAAATAACTAACTCCAATTTTTAATCAATTATTATTTTTTTCTTTTTAAAGAGAGAGCAGGCTTTTCTAGACTTTAAAGTCTTTCTTTAGAAGGTCTCACCGTGTAGAGAGGACCTTCGAGGCCACCCACACAAAATTCACCCAGAAGGAAATTTTGTCGGAAGGACACTCACAGCAGTTCTGGATCACCTATGTATGTCAACAGAAGGGATACTGTCTCCTTGAAGGGGAAACTCTGTCACTCCTCATGCCTGTCTAGGTCATACACCCATTTCTCTTTGCTTCACAGGTTTTAAACTGGTTTTTTGCATACTGCTATATAATTCTCTGTCTCTCTCTATCTCTCCCCTCCCTCCCCTCCCCTTCTTCTCTATCTCCATTCTTTTGAATTCCCTCATCCCTCCATCTCAATCCCATATCTACGCACCCCCCTGACCCCCCTCTGCCAGGCAAAGCAGTGCTCTGAGTATCACATCACACAAAAGGAACAAAAGCGAAACACACAAACCAGCCTCAACTTACACTTGGTTACTCAAAAGAACAAGAGTCAATGGTACTTGTCCTAGCATTTTGGAAGAGGAAAACAGGAACCTATCAAACCAACCAATCAACCAAACAAAGAAAAAATTCCACAATGAAAGAATGTATTTTGTCTTTTTGCATTTTGGTGTATAAGCCATCAATACTCAGCAAAATAATTTCTTTCTTTAAAAAAAAAATGTGGAGGAAAGTAGAAATTTATACAAGGTTGTTGACCCAGGGCGTTAAACTTACAGATTATTTTAACGAGAAAAACACACAGAAAAAAGCTACCTCAGGTGTTTTTTACCTCAGCACCTTGCTCTTGTGTTTCCCTTACAGATTTTGTAAAACTGACAGTTGGAGCATTTTTAAAATTTTTTTAATAAAAAGGAGTTGAAAAAAAATAAGATATCAACTGCCAGCCTGGAGAAGGTGACAGTCCAAATGTGCAACAGCTGTTCTGAATTGTCTTCTGCTAGCCAAGAACCTATATGACCTTCTTTTGGACAAACTTTGAAAATGTTTAAAAAAAAGATGACAAAGAAAAACAGAGAGAGAGAATATTGGAGATCCTGAATTTTAATAGGATGTGCGCCATTAGGGCTTTTTGCGCTAAAGGATGAACATGTACTGGTTTATATGAACAAGCCATTACGCCACCAGACTGCAATGCCAGTTTCCTCTACGGCAAACAGTGTTTGTTCTGTGACAAAAAAAAAAAAAAGAAAAAAGAAAAAAGAAATATATCCAGCTAACAAGAAAAAATAAATAAAGTGCTTAGAATGGTTCTTGGCACGCTGTAAGCATTTAATGTAGGATATATGTTATAAGTAGCAATAATAGTATACGGGAAATAATGGCTTAATATATAGTTATATGAATGCAAACAAAGGGCATATTGTTTTATAATTTATCCACCTAAAATTTGAAGGACCCATTTATATTTCCCAATCAACAAAATAAAATTTCTGAAAAATACCCAATGCATGATTAATATTTAGTGAATATTCAGTAATACGTAATTAATGCCCATTAAGCATAGAAAACAAAAAAATAAACTTAAGATATTATACATAATACATAAAGTACTGCTTATCATTTTATCTCACTGATTTATTACTTTGTTTAAGTAATGGGTCAAATAATGTTTCCCTGAAAAACAAATATTAAAATATTACAGTGTTAGGCTAAAAGAGGCATTAATCTTCCTCCCCAACGCCAGGATTTCCATATACTTTTATATTTGGTAAGGCAAATAATTTCCAATAAACTATAGCAGTATAATAGGCATAATTATTTTTCCAGACTTGCATAAGTTATTAATCACTCTGAAAAAAAATTTTTAAGAGACAGAGTCTCACTCTGTCATTCAAGCTGGAGTACAGTGGTGTGATCATAGCTCATTGTAATCTCAAACTCCTATGCTTAGGAGATCTTCCTGCCTTAGCCTCCAGAGTAGCTGGAACTACAGGCACTCATCCCCACATCTGGCTAATGTTTTTATTTTTTGTAGAGATGGGGTCTCACTATATTGCCCAGGCTGATCTTGAACACTTGTCCTCAAGAAATTCTCCTGTCTTGGCCTCCCAAAATGCTGGAATTACGGGCATAAGTCACTGTTCCTGGCGATTTATTATTAACTCTGCAGGATAACTTCATAAATTTTGGTCTTAAAACATGGTTTTTTGTCCATTCTACATACATTGTTTTCTCTCATTAATTCCAACTGTATTAATATGCATTCAGCCCCATTTCTTATCCTCTCTTTAGAGTCTAAAATGGATTCTTTCATGTCCAGAGGGAGAAGAATAAAAGAGTGGCAGCTTGCTGGGTGCAGTGGTTTATGCCTGTAATCCCAGCACTTCGAGAGACCAAGGCGGGAGGATTGCCTTAGCCCAGGAGATTGAGACCAGCTGAGCAACATAGCAAGACCCCATGTCTAGAAAAAATGAAAACATTAGCTGGGTGTGGTGGCATGCACGTGTAGTCCCAGCTACCTGGGAGGCTGAGGTGGGAGAATCACTTGAGCCTGGGAGGTTGAGGCTGCAGTAAGCTATGATTGTGCCACTACACTCCAGCCTAGGTGACAAAGCAAGACTCTGTCTCAAAAAAAAAAAAAAAAAAAAGCAGCAAAAGTGATAGAAAAATGGGGTTTCCAAAACTCCGGGGATTAATAAGAAGAAAAAAAACAAGAAGGGAAAATGATGGCATAAAACAGAGAGTAGAAAGAAAAGCACTGAGTACAACCCAGTACTGATCCTAATCTGCTCTCATGTCTGACTACAAACCTTGGAATTGTCTGCTGGAGCGACAGTTATCTGAAGATGTAAATGGATTAGACATACAAAATAATTCATTTGCATGGCTTCATGTAGTAGTGTTGGCTCTCTGCTGGGAGCTCAGCTAGAACTTTCCACAAGTGCCTACATGTTTCTTGCCTTTTATAGCAAGATAGCTGGGGTCCCAAAGAGAGCATCTTGAGTGCTGGAATTTCCACAAGCATTTCAAAAAGCTCAGGTAGAAGTCATAAAACTTTTATGATCTAGCCTTGGAAATCACAGAACATCATTTCCGATGCATTCTATTGGTCAAGCAAATCACTAAAGTCAGCCCAGATTCGTGGAGCAGTTGGACTCCATCTCTCAACTGGAAGAGTGACAAAGAGTTTGCAGCTATCCTTAACCAACTGCAAATATGAAAAAAAAAAAAACCTCTAGAAATGAAAATCATTATAATCAAAATTAGGCACTCAGTACAGGAGTTTCACAGAATTTTTGACAAAGTTGAAGGCTGAGCTCCCAGAATATAACATCCCAAAGATTAAAAAAACAAAAAAAATTTTTGGCTGGGTGCAGTAGCTCACGCCTGTAATCTCAGCACATTGGCAGGCAGATCACTTGAGGTCAGGAGTTCGAGACCAGCCTGGCCAACATGGTCAAATTGCCGTCTCTACTAAAAATACAAAACATTAGCCAGGTATGGTGGCGGGCGCCTGTAGTCCCAGCTACTGGGGAGGCTGAGGCTGGAGAATTGCTTGAACCTGGGAGGCAGAGGTTGCAGTGAGCCGAGATCATGTCACTGAATTCTAGCCTGGGCAACAGAGCCGGACCCTATCTCAAAAAAAAAAAAAAAAAAATTAAAAAGATGATGGAAACCAGAAAAGAATGAAATAATTTTTTCAGTGAGCTAATAATAATAATAATAATAGTAATAATTGTCAACAACATTTTATGATGAGAGAAAATATTCTTCAAGAATGTTTTACACAAACAAAAATTAACATAGTCTATCACCGGCAGACCCAAATTAAAGGAAATACTAAAGGGTATTCTGTAGGCAAAAAACAAAATGATCATAGATACAAAGTTCCCAGGTGCAAGAAGGAATGAAGAGCACAAAAGTGGTAGATATATGGGTAGATCTAAATAAACATGGACTACATAAAACAATGATAAAAATTTCTTTCCTCCTTTATTGGACTTACAAGAAACAATATGCAGGAATGGAAATGCATGATAACACTAGCGTATAAACAAGGGAGGTTTGGAAGGCCGAGGTGGGCAGATCACCTGAGGTCAGGAGTTTGAGACCAGCCTGACCAATATGGAGAAACCCCGTCTCTACTAAAAATACAAAATTAGCCGGGCATGGCGGCTGCATGCCTGTAATCCCAGCCACTCTGGAGCCTGAGGCAGGAGAATCGCTTGAACCTGGGAGGCAAAGGTTGCGGTGAGGCGAGATCGCATCATTGCACTCCAGCCTGGGCAACAAGAGTGAAACTCCCTCTCAAAAAAAAAAAAAAAAAAAAAATTAGCCAGCCATGGTGGTGGGCACCTGTAATCCCAGCTACTCAGCAGGCTGAGGCAGGAGAATCGCCTGAACCCAGGGGACAGAGGTTGCAGTGAGCCGAGATCGCACCACTGCACTCTAGCCTGGGCAACAGAGCGAGACTCCATCTCAAAAAAACCCCAAAAAACATAAACAAAATAAAACGAGGTAAAGTACTAATTACCATTAGAATATGGTATGTCATTTTTCAAGTCCAGATATAAGCCGTTATACTTACTGTAAATTGATTTTCAACAAAGGTGCTGAGGTGATTCAATAAGAGAAAGGATAGTTTTTTGTTTTTGTTTGTTTGAGACAGAGTCTAGCTCTGTTTCCCAGGCTGGAGTGGTGCAGTGGTGTGATCTCAGCTCACTGCAACTTCTGCCTCCCGGGTTCAAACGATTCTCCTGCTTCAGCCTCCCGAATAGCTGGGATTAGAGGCACCTGCCACCACACCGGGGTAATTTTTGTATTTGTAGTACAGTCGGGGGTTTCACCATGTTTGCCAAGCTGGTCTCGAACTCCAGGCCTCAGATGATCTGCCCGCCTCTGCCTCACAAATTGCTGGGATTACAGGAGTGAGCCACCGTGCCCAGCAGAATAGAATAGTTTTTAATCAACAAATATTGCTGGAACAATTGGATACCCACATGCAAGACAATGAATTTAGACCCTTGCCTCATACCATACACAAAAATAAATTCAAAATGGTTGGGCACAGTGGCTTACGCCTGTAATCCCAGCCCTCTGAAAGGCCGAGGTGGGAGGATCTCCTGAGATCAGGAGTTCGTGACCAGCCTGGCCAACATGGTGAAACCCCGTCTCTACTAAAAACACAAAAAAATTAGCTGGGCCTGGTGGTGCCCACCTGTAGTCCCAGCTAGTTGGCAGACTGAGGTTGGAGAATGGCTTGAGCCTGGGAGGCAGAGGTAGCAGTGAGCCGACATTGCTCCACTGCACTCCAGCCTGGGTAACAGAGTGAGACCCTGTCTCAAAATAAATAAATAAATAAATAAATAAACTCAAAATGGATCATAAACATAAATGTAAGAGCTAGACCTATGAAAATTCTGCAAGAAAACATAGAAGTAAATTTTCATGGTCTTGGGTTAAGGCAAAACATCAAAAGCACAAATAATAAGATAAAAATACTAATAAACTGAACTTCAAAGTTAAAAACTTTTGTCCTTCAAAGGACACAGTAAGGAAGTGAAAAGACAAGCCACAAATCTGGAGAAATATTTGTAAATCATATACCTAAGAAGGGACTCATAACCAGAATATATGAAGAACTCTTACACCTCAGTGATAAGAAGACAAATAGGCTGGGCGTGGTGGATGACGCCTGTAATCTCAGCACTTTGGGAGGCTGAGGCTGGCGGATTACGAGGTCAGGAGATCGAGAACATCCTGGCCAACATGGTGAAACCCCATCTCCACTAATAATACAAAAATTAGCTGGGCGTGGTGGTGCGTGCCTGTAATCCCAGCTACTTGGGAGGCTAAGGCAGGAAAATCACTTGCACCAGGGAGTCGGACATTGCAGTGAGCAGGACGTTGCAGTGAGCCCAGATCGTGCCATTGCACTCCAGTCTGGCAACAGAGCGAGACTCCAGCTCAAAAAAAGAAAAAAAAAAAAAAAAAAAAAGAAAAATTCAATCATCTTAACTGTACAATTGAATAATTTCTTAGTGATTTTACAGAGTTGTGAAAACATCATATTGGCATTGCTTCCACTTTTCAGCCACTATGAATAACGTTTCTATGACCATTTATGTACAAGACTCTGGGTGGACATACATTTTTATTTTGGGGGGTAAATATGTAGCAGTAAATCTGCTGGGTAAAAGATAAATCTAGGTTTGATATCACAACAGATAAAATAGATAAATCTATGTTTGATATTTTAAGAAATTGTCAGACTATTTTGTAAAGTGATCAAACCATTTTACACTCCACCGTGCCCGCCAAAATGAGTGAATTTTATGATATGTATATTTCACCTCAATAAAGCTGTTAATACCCGGCGCGGCACCCGTAATCCCAGCACTTTGGGAGCCTGAGGCGGAAGGATCCCTTGAGTCCAGGAGTTCGAGAGAAGCCTGGGCAACATAGGGAGACCTCCTCTCTGCAGAAAATTTTAAATAATTAGCCAGGCGTGCTGGTGCAGGCCTGTAGTCCCAGCCACTTGGGAGGACGGCTTGAGCCTGGGAGTTCCAGGCTGCAGTGGACCAAGATTGTGCCACTGCATTCCTACCTGGGTGACAGAGGAAGACCCTGTCTCAAAACAAACAAACAAAATCAATAAGGCTGTTAAAATTTTTTAAGGAAAATAATTATTCTATAATCTAGAGGATAATATCTAAAACAGAAGCAAAATAATGCATATTTTCCAGGCTAATAGAGGAAAGGAAATAGAGGAAAGGAAATTACAAAAATAATTTTTATTTTATATTTATTTATTGTTACTATTTTTGAGACAGGGTCTAGCTCTGTTGCCTAGGCTGGAGTGCTGTGGCTGATCTTGGCTCACTGCAACCTCCACCTCCCAGACTTAGGCGATCTTCCCACCTCAGCCTCCTGAGTTGCTGTAACTACAGTTGTGCACCACCACAACCGGCTAATTTTTGTATTTTTGGTAAAGACAAGGTTTTGTCACGTTGCCCAGGCTGGTCTTGAACTCTTGAGCTCAGGCAATCCACCTGCCTCCACTTCCAAAAGTGCTGGGTTTACAGGCGTGAGCCACCCAGTCCAGCCTACAAAAATAAGTTTTTTTAAAAAGGCGGCCAGGTGCGGTGGCTCATGCCTGTAATCCCAGCACTTTGGGAGGCCAATGTGGGCGGATCGTGAGGTCAGGAGATGGAGACCATCCTGGCTAACCATGGTGAAACCCATCTCTAGTAAAAATAAAAAAATTAGCCAGGCATGGTGGCGGTCGCCTGTAGTCCCAGCTACTCGGCAGGCTGAGGCAGAAGAATCGCTTGAACCTGGGAGGTGGAGGTTACAATGAGCCGAGATCGCACCACTGCACTCCAGCCTGGGCGACAGAGCCAGACTCTGTCTCAAAAAAAAAAAAAAAAAAAAGCAAGAAAGGGGACTAAAAGGAACATAAAACAAGTAGGACAAATACAAAACACATAGATTTAAGATCAAATATATTAGTAATAATGTTAAAGTATAAATGGACTGTGTGTTATTTATCTATGGGCTCTCAGCTCCAAATTCACCCTGTTTTCTGCTCTGTGAAAATGGTTCTGGGCCTTTTAAGTTTTCTCTTGCCAGATGGCACAGAAACTATCAGTAGAGGGCGCTAGAGAGACATTGCAAAAAGAAAAGGTTTTAACTTCCGGGGGCCCCTGCACTCCATCCTGAGGTTCCTGCAGCATGCTCCCCTTCTTAGCATCCAGCTTCTGTGGCATACATCACCTTCCCCCTTTCCCTGGCACCCTGGTGTGAAGAATTCCAGTAAGTTCCAGAAGGTGGATTTCTAGAAAGTTCCACCCATCTGGCACCAGAGAGACTTTTTTTTTGCCATCTGATGAGCCATGGCCATGATCTCTTTGCCCTAGAGTGGCAGGGGTGTGAGTTGTACTTTTCCTTGGATGTTCTACCCCGGGGTCTAGAGTAGTGGCTGTTCCTTTTTTTTTTTTTTTTTTTTGAGTCAGTCTCACTCTGTTGCCCAGGCTGGACTGTAATGGCGCGTGTTGGCTAGGCTGGTCTTGAACTCCTGAACTCAAGTGATCCACCTGCCTCAGCCTCCCAAAGTGCTGGGATTACAGGAGTGAGCCATGGAAACTGGCTGTGGCTATTCCTTTAACCTGCTATATTTATGAGAATTATCTTTGCTTCTTACTAATCAATCCCTTTTACCCCAATTTTATTTAGTACCATTAAATAACATTTAATAGTAGTATTATTTTGGGACAGGGTCGGCTCTGTTGCTCATTTTATTTAATACTTCTTTATATTATATTTCCTCTTCAAATTACCATCGTGGTCTCTGACTCTTGATAGGACCTAGACTGATACATAGACTAAAATGTTCTAATTAAATACAGAATTTTTCAGAACCAATTAAAAAAAATACCCAAATGTATTTTGCATACAAGAGGCATAGCTGAAACATCATAATACAGAAGGATTGAAAGTAAAAATATGGAAAAATATATAGTACAAAATGGCTGACCGAAAGAAGCTGTTCTAGCTGTTAAGCAAAAGTAACTACCCTTATAAAGAGGAGCACTTTATAATGATAAAAAGGTTCAATTTACAGGAAGGTATAAAAAAATTCTGAATTTCTATGGTGACTAGTAACATGGCCTTAACAAAATATAAAGCAAATATGGACAGAACCATAAGAATAAATAGATACATCCTTAATCAGAATGGAAGATCTTAATACTCCTCTGTCAGTAATTGATAAACAGAAAAGAAAATCAGTTCCTAGATTCAAAAAATATAATTAACAAACTTGCTTTTATTACTTGCTTTAATTGCTTGCAGAATTCACATTTTTTTTTTTCTTTTTCTTTTTCTTGTTTTTGAGATGGAGTCTCACTCTGTTGCCCAGGCTGGAGTGCAGTGGCAGGATCTGGGCTCACTGCAGCCTCTGTCTCCCAGGTTCAAGTGATTCTCCTGCCTCAGCCTCCCGAGTAGCTGGGATTACAGGTGCCAGCCACCATGCCCGGCTAATTTTTGTATTTTTAGTAGAGATGGGGTTTCACCATATTGGCCAGGCTGGTCTTGAACTCCTGACCTCAAATGATCCACCTGCCTCCATCTCCCAAAGTTCTGGGATTACAGGCGTGAGCCACCACACCCTGCCCTCACATTTTTTTCAAAGATGAAAAGATCATTTATAAAAGTTGACTATTTGTTGTGCAGTAGAGCCTAAACACATTTCAAAGGACTGAAATGATATATAGTACATTTTCTGACCAAAATTAACCCAATCTAGCAATTTATTATACAAGATAATAGAAAATACTCATATGTTTGGAAATTTAGAAATACATTACCAAATAACTCATAGATCAAATAAGAAATCACAGTGGAAATTAGATAATATTTTGAACTGAATTATAATAAAAATACAGCTTATTAAAAGGTTGTGTGATGCAGCTAAAGAGTACTTAGAAGTTAATTTATAAGCTAAATGTGTATATTAGGAAACAGGAAACGAATCTACTCATTCATTTCAGGAAGTTAGGGAAAAGGACGACAAAATAAAGCCCAAAAGGTCAGAGTAGGAAAAAATGCAGATAAGAGTAGAAATTAGCAAAATAAAAAATCCCATAGAGTTGAAAAGATCGACACAGCTAAAATTAAATGGATAAACCTCTGGTGAAACTGATAAATAAAAATGAAGAGAAGACACAAATAACCTTTTGTTCTAAGCTTTTAAAAAAGTCACTAAGAGGAAATTATGAACAATTTTATACTAACAATTTTTGGAATGTTAGAAAAAATGATCAAATTCCTAGAAAAATACAACTTATCTAATATGATACAAGAAAACTAGATAATCAGGCCAGGTATGGTGGGTCACACCTGTAATCCCAACACTTTGGGAGGCTGAGGCAGGCTGATTACTTAAGCCCAGGAATTCAAGACCAGCTTGGGCAACATGGTGAAATCCCATCTCTACAAAAAAGACAAATATTAGCTGGGTGTTGTGGCACGTGCCTATAGTCCCAGCTACTAGGGTGGCTGTGGTGGGGGAGGATCACTTGAATTCGGGAGGTCAAATCTGCCGTGAGCCATGTTCGTGCCACTGCACTGTAGCAAGACTCTGTCAAAAAAAAAAAAAAAAAAAAAAGAAAAAGAAGGAAGGAAGGAAGAAAGGAAGAAAGGAAGGAAGGAAAGAAAGACAGACAGACTAGATAATCAAAATAATCTTATAGCTGTTAAACAAATTGAGCCCATAATTAATTGCCACACAAAAAAAGCTTCAAGTCAAGATGGCTTTCCTATATACTTTCAAGCAACATTTAAGAAAGAAATAATGCCTATTAAAAAAAATCTGTATTAGAGGATGTAAGACCAATATAATGACCTTGACACCAAAACTCAACAAGAACATAATGAGAAATGAAAATGAGAAGACTATTATGAGAAACTAGAAACCTTTCAGAAAGTAGGTGAATAAATTTTTTTTTTTTGAGACCGAGTTTCATTTTGGTGCCCAGGCTGTAGTCTAAGATCGCGCCACTGCACAAAGAAAAACAAAACAAAACCATAGACTGGGTGGCTTAAACAACAAACATTTATTTCTTACAGTTTTGGTGGCTGGAAGTCTGAGATGAGGGTGCCAACATGGTCAGGGCCCTCCCACTTGTTCACAGACAGCTGCCTTCTTGCTATATCCGCACATGGTGGAGAGAGAGAGAGCAAGCGCAGGTTCCTTCATCTTCCAAGGGTACAAACCTTATCATGGGTGCTTTATCCTCATAACCTCGTCTGACCCTAATCACCTCCCTAAGGCCCCACCTCCAAATACCATCACATTGGGTGGGGGCTTCAACACATGAATTTTGGGGCGGGGGACACACACATTCAGTGCACAGCAAAAAGTATAGGGATTAAAGTATGCTGGTTATTAAGGTATTGTCTTTCACCTTGAGACCTGTTTTGTGATGTTGGTTCTGGGATTTTGCAAACCACATTTCTTTGCCAGTTGCTTTTCTGCTGGGGTCTGTCTGCAAGAGTCCCTGAGTCATATGGAAATTCTGTGTATATGTCTCTCTCTCTCTCTGTGCTGTCTGTGTGTGTGTGTGCATGTGTGTGTGTATTTCTGAGTCATCTTGTACTCGTCTGGTAAGTAGTTTTCACACATAGAAAGCCCTAATTTAGAAGAAACCTCTGAATTCTTATTTTCAGTATTATTAGAGATAAAGAGAATAAGAGATAAAACATTTTTAAAGGATCCTCATTACTTCTTTTTAAAATATATAGCTGGGCATAGTGGCTCATGCCTGTAATCCCAGCACTTTGGGAGGCCAAGGCGGGCGGATCACCTGAGGTCAGGAGTTCAAGACCAGCCTGGCCAACATGGTGAAACTAAAAATACAAAAAATTAGCCAGGAGTGGTGGCAGGTGCCTATAATCCCAGCTCCTCTCTGAAGGCTGAGGCATGAGAATCACTTGAATCCAGGAGGCAGAGGTTGCAGTGAGCCGAGATCGCACCATTGCCCTCCAGTCTGGGCAATAAGAGTGAAATGCTGTCTAAAAAAATAAATAAATAGGCTGGGTGTGGTGGCTCAAGCTTGTAATCCCAGCACTTTGGGAGGCCGAGGTGGGCGAATCACCTGAGGTCAGGAGTTCAAGACCAACCTGGCCAACATGGCAAGACCCTATCTCTACTAAAAATACAAAAATTAGCCCAGCATGGTGGCTCATGCCTGTAATCCTAGCCACTCGGGAGGCTGGGGCACGAGAATCGCTTGAACCCTGGAGGTGGAGGCTGCAGTGAGCAGAGATCATGCCACTGCACTCCAGCCTGGGTGACAGAGAGAGACTCCATCTCGAAAATAAGTAATAAATACATAAATAAATACAAATAAAATAAAATACACATATAAGGCTGGGTGCAGTGGCTCATGCCTGTAAACCCAACATTTTGGGAAACCAAGGCGGGAGTATTGCTTGAGGCCAGGAGTTTGAGACCAGCCTGGGCAATGAAGCGAGACCCTGTCTTTATAAAATTTTTTTAAAAAGCTGGACACAGCAGCATGCATCTGTAATCTCAGCTACTCAGGAGGATGAGGTTAGAAGATCACCTGAGTCCAGGTGTTCAAGGCTGCAGTAAGCCGTGATCATGCCACTGCACTCCAGCCAGGGTGACAGAGACAGACCCTGTCTCAAACAAACAAATACATCAGATGACATCTCCTGAAACATGTTCTGTTCTAAGGAGTAATTTACACTCACTAGGATTAATCTGTTCAACCTGTTAAACTACTAAGAGAGCAGTAGACAGGTGTGTTAGTCCAGGTTTATATTACTGTGTGACCTCATCCCTCTATTTTGGATCCAGAGATGTTTCCCCTCTGGATATGATCAGTTTCTTTGCAGTTGGCTTGAATTTCAAACCCCAGATTCTGCCTGTAAAGTTAATAATACTCTGCTTCTAATTGTATAAGTTTTCTCCATGTGGGAACTTAGTATACAGACTTTTCCCCATAACTACAACTGAATACAGAACAGTGATCATGCGACTTCTATATATCCTGACCACACTTCTGCCTTTGTAATTTGAATTATTTGGCACTATGAACAGCATTTAGCATAGTATTTTTCCATTTTTTTCCTTGGGGAATGAGACAAAGATGAGGTTGTGAACCAAGCTGACAAGGCTACTCTAGCTTACTTAATTAAGTACAGATGGTCCCCAATTTCCAATGGTTCAACTTAACAATTTTTTGATTTTATGATGGTGCAAAAGTGATACTTATTCAGTAGAAACTATACCTCAAGTAACCATACAACCATTCTATGGTCTTTCCTAATAGTCTAATATTAATTGAGAACTTTTTTGAGTTTCTAGAAATCAAGGCGGTATTAATAGGAAACAGCTATGCTTCCGACAACTTCTTGAAAATACTGTCAGGGTCGAGGTGGCTTCCTCATGCTGCCTGGGCAATTCTTCTTGAAATGCCATGGCTTGCCACACTTGTAGCAGTTAACAGGTGTACCCTGGGAATTCTGGACTTAGTGGGCTTGTCTGGTGGCCATTAAAGCCTCTGTCTCTTTCCTGTATTTCCTGTCTCTCTCCTGGGCCTTCCTATCTCTATCATAAAAAACCGAGGTGGCTACTTTCAGGAGGTTCTCCAAAGTACTATCTGGTCCCAGGGCCTGTTTCTGCAACTTCCTCCTGATATCAGGGGCTGCCTGAGTAATAAATTTACCCTTTAGGATAAGTTATCCCTCGACAGAGTCAGGAGATAGAGAGGTGTGCTTTACAAAGGCCTCTCCTAGCCTTTCCAAGAAGGCAGTGGGATTTTCATCAAATCCTTGGTCTATCATGGATAACTTGGTATACTTAAGAGGCTGGCCGGGCACAGTGGCAGGGTCTTGGGAAAGAGGCAGATCTGACAGTTTAACTTTTGTTTGTTTGTTTGAGACAGAGTCTCGCTCTGTCGCCCAGGCTGGAGTGCAGTGGCGCGATCTCGGCTCACTGCAAGCTCCGCCTCCTGGGTTCACGCCATTCTTCTGCCTCAGCCTCCCAAGTAGCTAGGACTACTGGTGCCTGTCACCTCGCCCGGCTAATTTTTTTTGTATTTTTAGTAGAGATGAGATTTCACCATGTTAGCCAGGATGATCTCGATCTCCTGACCTCATGATCCCCTCACCTTGGCCTCCCAAAGTGCTGGGATTACAGGCATGAGCCACTACTCCCAGCCTAGTGTCACATTTTAACTCACCGTTCTTCAACTGTATCCTGGACAAGCCCCCAGATGAAACTGGAGAATTCCTTGACCCCCCTCACAGGACATGCGACAGGGTATGGCTCATCTGTTCAGTCACTGCCATGGCTAAACCCCTTATAGGAAGGGGAGCACACAGACAGACAGGTGCAGGAGCCCAAGTGGGTGTGTGTTACAGTGTGCCCTTTTGGCCTTGCCGTCCGTGGACAACTTCAGTGTTAACCAGCTCAGTGGACCCTCTGCCTTTCTGCAAGGGCACAGGGCCAGTGTGACAGCTCTCTATATGCCAGGCTCTTGTCCAGCGTCCCAGAAGAATCAGGTCACACACGAACTTGAGCGATGAATGCAAGGGTTTTATTGAGCAGTGGAGGTGGCTCTCAGTGGGATGGATGGGGAGCCGGAAGTGGGGATGGAGTGGGAAGATGATCTTCCCCTGGAGTTTGGCCATCCAGCTGCTGAACTCCTGTCTGACCACCCCAGCAGAACTCCTCTTGGCATTCAGAGATTCCTCTTCTCTTTCTCTGCCATGTCGTTCTGCTGTTCATCTGGTTGTCTTGTCGTCTCCTCATGTAATTCTGGGGTTTGGGGTTTATATGGGTAGAGGATGGGGGGCATGGTGGGGAAGGGAGGAAGGAAGGAGGAAGGAAGGAGGAAAGAAGGAGGGAATGAAGGAGGGAGGGAGGGAGGAAAACAAACCAGGAGGAAGAATGCTTAAACTGACTGTGCAGCTATTGCAAAAGTTCTCAGGTGGGTGCCTGCCTGTCTGGTGAATGTGAGAGACAGTAAGGAGGCCACAGTGGCTATAGTAGACAAACCTAGGAGGTGAATTGTAGGTGATGAGATGAGAGAGACAGAGCCCTTCTTTTGGAACTTTATATATCTAAGTCATTGTTAAAACTTCAGCTTTAACTCTGGGGAAGATGAAAAGCCAGGGGAGACTTTTGAGTGGAGGGTTATATCTGTCTTACTTTTTTTGAGATGGTGTTTCGCTCTTGTCTTCCAGGCAAGAGTGAAATGGTGTGATCTCGGCTCACTGTAACCTCCGCCTCCCAGGTTCAAGTGATTCTTCTGCCTCAGCCTCCCCAGTAGCTGGGATTACAGGCACCTGCCACCATGCCTGGTTCATTTTTGTATTTTTTTAGTAGAGATGGGGTTTCACCACATTGGCCAGGCTGGTCTTGAACTCCTGACCTTAGGTAATCCACCCACCTCGGCCTCCCAAAGTGCTGGGATTACAGGCATGAGCCACCGCACCCGGCCTGTGTTACTTTTAAAAGGATCACTCTGGCAGCTCTATGCAGAGTACTTAGGAGGCAACTGCAGGTGGGGTACAGTGGCTCATGCCTATAATCCCAGGAGTTTGGGAGGTTGAGGCAGGCAGATTACGAGGTCAGGAGATTGAGACCATCCTGGCCAATGTGGTGAAACCCCATCTCTATAAAAATACAAAAATTAGCTGGGCATGGTGGCGCGTGCCTATAATCCCAGCTACTTGGGAGGCTGAGGGAGGAGAATCCCTTGAACCAGGGAATTGGAGGTTGCAGTGAGCTGTGATCACACCACTGCACTCCAGCCTGGCGATAGAGTGAGACTCTGTCTAAAAAAAAAAAAAAAAAAAAAAAAAAAAGCAATTGCAGTAATTCTAGTGAGATGGTGTCATGGGCCAAGGTGATTGCAGTAGATTAACTCCATATAGCTGAACATATTTTAAAGACAGAGCCAACAGCTTGTGACTTAGTTGTGGGGGTATAAGAAAAAGAAAGGAGATGGCCTGGCATGGTGGCTCATGCCTGTAATCCCAGCACTTTGGGAGCCCAAGGCAGGCGGATCACAAGGTCAGGAGTTCAAGATCAGCGTGGCCAACATAGTGAAACCCCATCTCTACCTAAAAGAAATACAAAAAAAATTAGTTGGGCATGGTGGCGGGCATCTGTAATCCCAGCTACTTGGGAGGCTGAGGCAGGAGAATCTCTTGAACCTGGGAGGTGGAGGTTTCAGTGAGCCGAGATCATGCTACTGCACTCCAGCTTGAACAACACAGCGAGACTCTGTCTCAAAAAAAAAAGAGGAAACGAGGATAACTCCAAATTCTTTGGCCTCGGCTAATGGAGTTAACATTAACAGAAATGGAAGCCAGGCATGGTGGTTCAAAATTGTAATCTCAGCACTTTGGGAGGCTGAGGTGGGAGGATTGCTTGAGCCCAGGAGTTCAAGACCAGTCTAGGCAACGTAGGGAGACCCCAACTCTACAAAAAAAAAAAAAAAAATAGGTGGGAGTGGTGGCACGCAGGTGTAGTCCCAGCTTCCTGGGAGGTTGAGGTGGGAGGATCACTTGAACCTGGGAGGTCAAGACTGCAGTGAGCTATGATGGTGCCACTGCATTCCAGCCTGAGCAACAGAGTGAGACTCTGTCTCAAGACGAAACCAAACAGAAATGGGAAAAGTTGGGAGTATAGCTGGTTTGGGAGACCAGGGATTCAGTAGTGGACAGATAAGTCTGAGACCTCATTAAACTTCTAAGTGGAAATTATTTTTAATTTTTTTAAAGAAAGCACTAGGGCATGATAGATTTAGTCTTTTAACTTTAAAATTTGTTGGTTATTCCAAAAATGTTTCCACCTACAGAAAAATCATTAAGATATAATAAAACAAATTGTTATTCTTATGCACGTAAAATGAAATTTAAAACCACCATCTCCTAGTTGATAAGGCAGTACTATATATATATATATATATATATATATATATTTTTTTTTTTTTTTTTTTGAGATGGAGTCTCGCTCTGTCACCCAGGTTGGAGTGCAGTGGCACGATCTCTGCTCACTGCAACCTCCACCTCCTGGATTCAAGGGATTTTCCTGCCTCAGCCTCCTGAGTGCTGGGACTACAGGCGCGTGCCACCATGCCTGGCTAATTTTTGTATTTTTAGTAGAGACAGGGTTTCGCCATGTTGGGCAGGCTGATCTCAAACTCCTGACCTGAGGTGATCCATCCCCATTGGCCTCTCAGAGTGCTGGGATTACAGGCGTGAGCCACTGCGCCTGGCCAGTCATATAATTTGAGTACTTTTTTAGAGAAGCATCATAGCATAGAGATAGTATATCGACTCTAGAGCAAGTTTGCTTGGCTTTATTTCTTTTATTTTTAAAAATTTTCTTTGTATAAATTTATGGGGTACAAGTGTTACATGTATATATTGAGTAGTGGTGAAGTCAGGGCTTTTCTTCTTCTTTTCTTTTTTTGAGACGGAGTTTCACTCTTTTTGCCCAGGCTGGAGTGCAATGGCCCGATCTCGGCTCCGCAACCTCCGCCTCCTGGGTTCAAGTGATTCTCCTGCCTCAGCCTCCCGAGTAGCTGGGATTACAGGCATGCGCCACCACACCCAGTGAGTTTCTACTTTTAATAGAGACGGGGTTTCTCCACGTTGGTCAGGCTAGTCACGAACTCCCGACCTCAGGTGATCCGCCCGCCTCGGCCTCCCAAAGTGCTGGGATTGCAGGCATGAGCCTCCGCACCTGGCCTTTTTCTTTTATTTTTAAATTTTATTTATTTATTTATTTTTGGTAAGTCATGCATAGGGCTTTTTTGTGTATCCATCTCCAAAATAACATACATTGTACCCTGCATTTAAAACGTTATCGTGCTACTTACTGGCTGTGTGACTTTGGGTGAATTACTTTGCCTCTCTGTGCCTTAGTTCTGTCATCTGTATAATGATGAAAACAATACCTAAAAGGGATTCAATTATTTCATATTTATAATGTGTTTAGAACAGTGCCTGAAACATAGTGCTAAATATGTGATATAATTTGTCTTTCAGATAATTTGTTAAAAGCCATTTTTAGTATTTAACTTATCTTAAATATACTTATGAGGCTCTAACCAAACTATACCATCTCTATGAAAAAACAAGATTATGTGTTTCACATGAAGCCATGCATCTTGCAAAGATGTGCTGATGAAAAGTGCAACATGCACTTCAGGAATCTGCTTTCTATAAAAGCTTTTATGTTTCTGGTCTGCTTATTTCTAGGTGCCATATCTTAACTAAAAATGTTAACTGGTTGTCTTTATCTATAGCAGTATATAAGGATTCTTAAAATTTGGATCTTATAGATGGAGTGTTTTAAAACAATTGATAGTGGCTTACTCCCATTCTCTGGACTGAGGGCTCAGTCTGACTGCCACTGTTCGCATTGTTAGTTTAAGTAATAGTGCTGATCACACTGCTTTCCAAGGAGGTTTTCACTTTCTTCCATATATATTTCTTTTCTTTCTTTTCCTTTTTTTCTTTTTCTTTTCTTTTCTTTCTTTCTTTTTTTTTTTTTTTTTTTTTTGAGACAGAGTCTCTGTTGCCCAGGCTGGAGTGCAGTGGCATGATCTCAGCTCACTGCAGCCTCCGCCTCCTGGGTTCAAACAATTCTCCTGCCTCAGCCTTCCAAGTAGCTGGGATTACAGGCATGGGCCACCACACCCGGCTAATTTTGTATTTTTAGTAGAGACAGGGTTTCACTATGTTGGTCAGGCTGGTCTTGAACTCCTGACCTCTGGTGATCCACCTGCCTCAGTCTCCCAAAGTGTTGAGATTACAGGCGTGAGCCACTGCGCCCAGGCTGAATCTTTATTTTCTTTGTGTGCTCTGCTCAGCCGTCTCAGTATTCTGCCCTGGGAAATGTTGAAAGGAGGGTTTTAAGCTTAAGATTCTTTTTACAGGATAATTTCCACATTGATTCCAAACTGAAAATAGATCCCGCGTTGCATAGGAACACTTTCACTCTATGTAGTCGGGGTGGGACTGACTCTCTTCCTTATTTCCAGGAATGGGGACTGTGACAGAGACCTAGCCAATCAGGGCTTTCTTGGAACTTTTGCTGGGACCACTGGGAAAGGGGTTTTCTTTGTTGGGATTCCTACCTTTAGAGATACTGGTGGTCATCTCTACCACCATATGAAGAAAGCTTGTTGAGAAATAAAGGAAGTACAGAGGAAAGCGGTGGTAAGACAAAGAAAAATAGATTTCTAATTATATTTTTATCTCTTTTATCCATTTCTGAAGCTGAATGACTTAGTTATATGATCCAATAGTTTTCTCCCCACTTTAAAAATTACATTTCCAGCCCTCCATCAATGATTGAACCTAAGTTACTGATCTATGGCATATTCTATGTAAAGCTTTCAAGTACTTTTCTAGGTATGGTAATCAAGGTTTTAATATTTAAGCATTTAAAACATAGTTTTTAATTTTTTAAATTAAAAACAGTTATTTTTTATTTTTATAAAGTCAGGGTCTCACTTTGCTGCCTAGGCTGGTCTTGAACTCCTGGCTTCAAGAGATCCTCTTGCCTTGGCCTCCCAAAGTGCTGGGATTATAGGCATGAGCCACTACACCTGGCCAAAAATATTATTTAAATTCACTTTTATTTGTTTTTTAGAGACAGGGTTTTACTCTGTTGCCCAGCTGGACTTAAATTCCTGGTCTCAAGGGAACCTCCCACCTTAGCCTCTCCAGGAGCTGGGACTACAGGTGCATGCCACCACACCTGGCATATATAAACACACATCTTTAGCATATAAAACAAAGGAATAAATTAACATGCAAAATTTATAAATGTCATATGTGGGCATAATTGAATTTCATGATAATCTGAAAACTGTAATTGACAATTTCAGAATAAGGCATCTAGTCAAAAAAGCAATGAGTAAATAAATGACTGCAGAAGGAAAAAAAAAAAACCCAAAAAACCATTAGTCATATCCAGCAAGAAGGGCATTCTCTGCTAGACAAGTACT